>NC_000024.10:8746504-9046914 GCF_000001405.40 Homo sapiens
GGCATCTGTAATGGGAATTTATTGTTTTAAAAGTATTACAGATTCCCAGTCATTAAATCGTGATAGTGTTTAGAAGGAAACACATGCAAACCATTCCTATGAGGGTTGTCATCCATGAACTGGGAAGCATTTATTATGAAAGACATTGAACCAGGCCTAGGAAACTCTACGCCAACAAGGAACACGAAAGTCGGGAAAAGAAGAGGCAAGTGTGGAGTCCACATGCCCTCCAGGATCAATGCATCCCACTTTTTTTTTTCTCTCCAGGTACAAAAGCCCTCCAATTGGGAGTTTTCCAGGATGGTCCAAGTTTGCACTACCAATGTTCCCTGCACATTGAAGTACTCCCACCTGAACACTGGGCCATGGTGTTGATGGCTTGTGTAATTAAGGGAATGCAAATATGCAGTTGGAAGCACCTTCTGTGTAATCTGTCTTCACCATTTTTACAGGTGAATGTGTGGTTCCCCATCCACTGCTCACCAGATTGTATCTTCCCACCAATCTGATCTTATTGCTGCTAGCACTCTCTGTCCTAGAATAAAATCCTGATAGAGGCTAGCCCCATTATAATGAAAAGCACCTGCTTGGCTGAGAATCAAATTTGAAGTAAATGCAAGTGGCCTGTGGACAGGACTGTTACTGTCTCTCCCTGGGTATGCTTCAGAACATGAAACACTTGGGGATGTCTGTTCTTCAGTGTGGTTTTCTCTTCTTTTTTCTAGAAGAGTGTTTCTGTTTGTTTGTTTGTGTGTTTGTTTTTTCCCAAGGGGGCCATAATTTGATTTTGACATGTTTCAGCCACCCTCCCAATTCACTGCAGATTCATGATCCACAAAAAAATAAAGAACACGGAGTCCTGCAGACCAAGCAGGGCCACACAGAGAGGCCACCAAAAGTTTGGGAGATTCAAAACTAAGAAGCACTGCAGTGCAATAGCCATATTCCTTTAAGCAGATTCCACTTACAGGCACACACACAAACACATGCACATACAAAGCCACACCAACACTCCCAACACTCCCACAGAAACACAGCCCGAGAGCTTCTGAGGCTGTGTTGTTCTGCCAGAAGCCCCACTTGGAAGAGAACAACTCTAGGGAACACAGGTCGGCTGAACCTAGAAATCATAGTGGAATAAGTTTCAAAAAGATTAACTGATACAATGTCTAGGCAGGCCTGAGGCCTTTTGCAGGTCCTTTTTGATCCTTAGAGATTTCACACTTTATTCCCGGGGCTCTGCTTGATGTTTCTTCAGGCTGTCTTGCACCCAGCATCAATCTATTGCAATTTTATTTGGCTATAGCTATGAAAGCCCTAAAATCAGGAGTTTGCCAGGATAACCCCAATTTGCACTCCAAATGTTCCTTACACGTTGGAATACTCCCACCTGAAAACTGGGCCATGGTGTGGTCTATATGTGCTATTAAGGGAATGCAGAAATGGAGTTGGAAGCACATTCTGTGTGATCTGTCTTTTTTTTTTCAGCTGAAGTTGCAGGACCCCATCTACCCCTCACCAGATTGTATCCCCACTTTTATCTTATTGCTGCTGCCTTATCACTGCTGACACTCTATGTCCTATGGTGAAATCCCACAGACAATGGAAAGTGCCCCTCATGACCTGAAGCAACTGCTTGGCTGAGAACCGAATTCAAGGTAAATTCAAAAGGCCCTGTAAACAAGACTGCTAGAGTGTTCCCTGGGTTTCCCTCAGGACAATGAATCTCTGGGAGAAGTCTGATTTTTGGTGTGGTGTGCTCCTCTTCTTTCTAGAAGAGTGGCTTTTTTTTTGCATGGGGAGGTGATTGGATGCCAGCATGCCTTAGCCTGCCTCCCAATTCACTGTGAATTTATGATCCACAGAAAAATAAAGAACACTGAGCCCAGCATCTCAAGCAGAGCCACACAGACAGGCCACCAAAAGTTTGGAGTCTCAAAAAAAAAGAAGGGCTGAAGTTCATTATCCACATTCCTTTAAGCAGACTCTACTTACAGGCACACATAGACATACACACAGACACAAAAACCCACAAAGCCACACACACATGCAAACATCCAATACTCACAACTCTGTCACAGACACACACAGCCCTGCACTTCTTGAGGCTTCATGGTTCTGCAGGAAGCCCCACCTGGAAGAGAGCAACCCTGGAGAACACAGGCATTATATGTACCTATGAATCACAGGCCAAGTTTCAAAAAGAGTCACCCCTACAACATCTAGGCAGGCCTGACGGAACCTGCAGATCCTTTTGGATCCTTATGGATTTTGCTGCTTAATCCTAGGGCTGTGCTTGAGGTTTCTTCAGGCTGGCTCATGTCTATGCTTTCCTAGGATCATGGGACTATGTCGAGGATTCCAAAGAGAAGACAGGTGAGAGTCCTCCGCAGACCCTCCCCCACAGAGGTCTCCTATTCCACCAATCCACAGGGACTTGAGCTAGGCAAAGATGACATTCATTGTAATGCTTGATATAGCTCACAATTAAGCCTGGTGCCCTGAGATTAGGACATGGGCATTCTTGAGGCGGTCTCAGGCACCTGCCTGTAACAGCTGCCAGCCTGCCTAAGCAGAGGCAAATAGTACAGCCAGAGCCAACCTGGTATCAGGAAAAGGCTGCCTGTGAAAACCCACTGCGGGATCTTAAAAGTCTGGACCTCAGGGCCCTTTTGGTGTGTCTCCATTGTCATGTTTTGCTGGAGGAGGAGGGGTTTTCAGACTGTGAGGTGGTCGCTGAAAACTGCTCTTCTGACTCAATTCCTGAAAAAGGCCGTGTGCAAGAATCAGGTCCCATTGAGACTGGAATACTGTCTGGTTTGTTTTTGATGGTTCCTTGCGTGATAGAATCATATCTGAGACCCCAGAGGTGGGTGTCAGTGAAAATGGCCAGGACCTTTAACTCACTTCCTCCCTTCATTCTATGCCTCCCAGGGGCACTTTGGGAAAGGCAGGAACCATGAAAGAGGCAAGTCCAAGGTGGATCAGTGTTCCCACACTTCGGACTCACTGCTCAAGACTGAGATGAGGTTGAGACAGTGTCTCTGAGGTAGTCTGTGGTGATGGCAATCCTGAAAAAGGTGTCCACTAGTGCTGTTGAGGGGCACAGTGGATTCCCCATGAAAACAAACAAACAAAATCAAGGGTTTCCTGAGAGAACGAGCTTCCTTGTGATAGAGTCAAAGCAATGTTCAATTATTCCTGTAAGGGGACCCAACACCCTCCAGCAAAGTTCAAACCACCTCATCCCCCACAACCAGAAAACCACCCACAACCTAAAGCACAGCCAGGCTACCCAAAGTCAATTTTGCTCTCTTAAATAGTTAGCAGCTAAATAATCTTTGGCAAAGGGCAGTCCCACCCAGCAAAAGCCCAATGAAAAACACCATCCACAATGAGGAGGCTGTGCAGATAAAATAAAATAGAGGATAGACTGCCAGCCAAAAGCTAGACATGGCTGTCTGTTTCTCATCCTACAGAAATCATGCAGCACTCTGATAGAAGTGGGAGAACAAGAGTTTCCTTGCTCATGGCTGTAATGGGAATTTACTGTAGCTTCTAAGTCATTAAAACGTGACAGTGTTTAGAAGGAAACACTCATGGAATGGATTTCCATGAGGGTATTTCTTCATGAACTGGGAAACATTTTGTGTGGAAGTCCTTGAGACAGAAGCAGAAAATTCTAGGCCAGTAAAGTACATGGACATCAAAAAAAGAAGAGGTAAACATGGAGGTCCATATCCTACA
Organism: Homo sapiens; assembly: GCF_000001405.40. Classification (NCBI taxonomy): domain Eukaryota; kingdom Metazoa; phylum Chordata; class Mammalia; order Primates; family Hominidae; genus Homo; species Homo sapiens. The sequence continues at coordinate 8,750,252 of NC_000024.10, forward strand.
CAGCATCAAGCCATTCCACTCACATTTGTCTCCGAGTATGAAAGCCCTCAAAGAAGGAGTATGCCATTATATCCCCAATTAGCACTCCAGATGTTCCTTGGACATTGGAGTACTCCCATCTGAACACCAGGCCAAGGCATGGACTGAATGTGTAATTAAGGGAATGCAGGGATGGAGTTAGAAGCACCTTCTATGTCATCTGTCTTCATTTTTATTTCAGGTGAAGTTGTGGGATCCCATCCTCTCCTCACCATTGTATCCTCACCCATAACTGACCTTACTGCTACTCACACTCTATGTTCCAGGATGAAATTCCAAGATGATGGAGGAGTGCCCTCCCATGACATGAAGCACCTCCTCAGCTGGCAACCGAATTTGAGATAAATATGGACAGTACTGCTAGTACTTTTACCTGCGTTGGCCACAGGACAATGAAACACTGGAAGATGTCTGGTTTTGTGTGTTGTGCTCCTTCTTTCTAGAGGAGTGTTTTTTTTTTGCAGGGGTAGGTTATTTGGACACCAGCGAGACTTTGTAAGCCTCCCAATTCACTTCAAATTCATGATCCACAGAAAAATAAAGAACAAGGAGCCTCATAGCACAATCAGAGCCACACAGAAAAGCCGTCAAAAGGGTTTAAGACTCATAAAAAGTAACGCCTAAGTGGGTGAGCTACATTTCTTTAAGTAGACTCCACTTATAGGCACAAACACACACACACACACACACACACACACAACATAAACCCTCAGTGCTGCACACACATGCAGACATCCAAAACTTGCAACACTCACAGAAACACACAACCAGGCAGCTTCTGAGGCTGCATAATTTGGCAGAGAGCCCCACCTCGGAAAGAGCAACCCCAAGGAAAACAGGCAGGCTGTGCTTATCAATCACAGTGGGGAAAGTTTCAACAACACCTCAACAACATCTAGGCACTTCTGAATAATCCTGCGAACATTTTTGGATGCTTAGGGATTTTGCGGTTTATTCCTGGAGCTGTGCTTGAGGTTTATTCAGGCTGGCTCCCATCTGCCCTCTCCTAGGATTATGGAAATATCCCATGGATCCCACAGAAAAGACAAGCAAGTCACTACACACATCCACAGTGCTCTCCTTCATTGACAAGCTTCAGGAACTTGTCGGGAGGCAATGGTGACATTCATTGTGACCTTAGCCAGAGCTCACAATCAACCATGGTGCACTGAGACTAGCTCATGCACATTCATCAGGCAGATTCAGACACCTGGCTGTCAGAGCTGTCAGCCTTCCTCAGTAGAGGAAAATGCTACAGTCGGCACTGGCCTGGTATCAGGAAAATAGATGCCTGCAAAAACCCACTGTGGGACCCTAAAAGTCTTGACCTCAGGTCCCCTTTGTGCTGTCTCTGTTGTCAGGATCCACTAAAGGAGGAAGTGTATCAAGACTCTGAGGTGGTCTGTGGAAACTGCTCTTCTGTCTCCATTTTTGAAAGGCTGTGTGCAATAATTGGGTCCTGTGGAGATTGGAGTATAGTCTGAATTATTGTTGAGGGTTCTTTGGGTGATAGAATCATACCTGAAACCCCAGGGGCTTGTGTCAGTGAAAGATGACCAGGCCCTTGAACTCACTGCCTCCCTTTATCCTGGGCCTCCCATGGACTCTCTGGGAAGGGCAGGAGCCACAATAAAGGCTAGTCAAATGTGGAGCATTGTTCTCACCCCTCAGACTGGCCTCTCACTGGTGAAGATGTGGTTCAGACAGTGTCTCAGAGGCCATCTGTGGTGATGGCAAGCCTAAAAACGGTGTCCAGTAGTGGTGTTAAGGGGCACTGCGGATTGTCCATGAAAGCAAAGAAAAATTAAGGCTTGCCTGAGAGAATGGAGACAGAAGAGCAGTTTCCACAGACCACCTCAGAGTCTTGATACACTTCCTCCTTTAGTGGATCCTGACAACAGAGACAGCACAAAGGGGACCTGAGGTCAAGACTTTTAGGGTCCCACAGTGGGTTTTTGCAGGCATCTATTTTCCTGATACCAGGCCAGTGCTGACTGTAGCATTTTCCTCTACTGAGGAAGGCTGACAGCTCTGACAGCCAGGTGCCTGAATCTGCCTGATGAATGTGCATGAGCTAGTCTCAGTGCACCATGGTTGATTGTGAGCTCTGGCTAAGGTCACAATGAATGTCACCATTGCCTCCCGACAAGTTCCTGCAGCTTTTCAATGAAGGAGACCACTGTGGAGGTGTGTAGTGACTTGCCTGTCTTTTCTGTGGGATCCATGGGATATTTCCATAATCCTAGGAGAGGGCAGATGGGAGCCAGCCTGAATAAACCTCAAGCACAGCTCCAGGAATAAACCGCAAAATCCCTAAGGATCCAAAAATGTTCGCAGGATTTTTCAGAAGTGCCTAGATGTTGGTGAGGTGTTTTTGAAACTTTCCCCACTGTGATTGATAAGCACAGCCTGCCTGTTTTCCTTGGGGTTGCTCTTTCTGAGGTGGGGCTCTCTGCCAAATTATGCAGCCTCAGAAGCTGCCTGGTTGTGTGTTTCTGTGAGTGTTCAAGTTTTGGATGTCTGCATGTGTGTGCAGCACTGAGGGTTTATGTTGTGTGTGTGTGTGTGTGTGTGTGTGTGTTTGTGTGAATGCTGGAGTCAAAGCAATGTTCAAAGATTCCTGTCAGAGGACCCCAAAACCTCCTGCAAATTGCAAGCAACCTCAGCCCCCAAAACGAGACCATGAACCACAAACTTAAGTGCAGCCAGGCTCCCTGATGTCCCTTTTGCTGTCTGAAATCCCTGTCAGATAAATAATCTGTGGTGAAAGGCAATCCCATCCAGCAGTGGCTCAATGAAAGAGCACCTCCACAATGAGAAGGTCATGCAGATGAAATGAAACAGAGGCTAGATTACCAGGTAAAAACCCACGCACATCCACTTGCTTCTCATCCTGCAATAATTATTCAGCCCTCCAATAGAAATGGGAGAACAAGAGTTTTCTTGTTGGAAGCTGTAATGGGAATTTACCATTTTAAAATTATCAAAGCTGCCCAGTCATTAAACATGAAAATGTTTAGAAGGAAAATATCCCCCAGTGGATTCCTATGATGGTCATTCTCCATGAACTGGGAAATGTTTAGTGTGGAAGTCATTGAGCCAGACACAAGAAACCCTAGACCACTGAGGAACATGGAAATCAGGAAATGAAGAGGGAAGTGTGGAGGTCACATCACATCCAGCATCAATTCATTCCACTCCCATTTGGCTCCTGGTATGAAAGCTTTCAAATCAGGAGTTTGCCAGGATGGTCCCAATTTGCACACCAAATGTTCCTTACACGTTGGAGTACTCCCATATGAACATATGGGGATAGAGTTGGAAGCAACTTCTGTTTCATTTGTCTTCATTTGCTTGCAGGTGAAGATGTGGTACCATATCCACCACTCACCAGATTGTATCCTCACCCCTATCTGACCTGATTGCTACTCACAATCTATCTCCCAGGATGAAATCCCAAGAAAATAGAGGAGTAACCCCTCTTGATGTGAAGCACCTGCTTGACTGGCAATTGAATTTCAGGTAAATTCAAGGGGAGCTGGGGACAGGATTACAAGTGTCTCTCCCTGATTTGGCCTGAGGACAACACTGAGAGATGTCTGTTTTTTGGTGTGGTGTGCTCCTCTTCTTCCTAGAAGGATGCTTTTTTTTTCTTTTTTGAAGGGGAATAATTTAGATGCTGGCAGATCTTGGCCAGCCTCTGAATTCATGGCAGATTCACAATTTACAGAAAATTAAAGAACACGAAGCCCCACTGCTGAAGCAGAGCTTCACAGAGAGGCCACTGAAATGCTGGGGAACTAAAAAATAATAATAATAATCATTAAAGTGCATTAGCCAAATTCCTTTAACCTGACTGCACTTATGGACACACACACACACACACACACACAAACACAATGCCACACACAAAAGCAGATATCCAACACTCACAACACTCCCAGACAAACACACAGTCCAGCTGCTTCTGAGGCTGCTTGTTTCTGCAGGATGCCCCATTTGGGAGAGAGAAACCCCAGGGAATGGGGAGCACAGGCAGGCTTGTTCCTAAAAATCTCAGAGGGACAAATTTCAAAAAGGCTCACCCTTAAAATGTCTATGTGCTTGCTCATGTCTGTCCTCTCATAGGATCACGAGACTATCACATGGATCCCACAGAGAAGACAGGCAAGAATTCATAGCCAACGAACCTCCACAAAGGTCTTTTTCTCCACCAATCCCAAGATGAGGAAGAAGTGCCCCATCATGACATGAAACACATGCTTGGCTGGGAACTGAATTTGAGGTAAATTCAGGGGCCCTGCAGACAGGACTGCTAGTGTCTCTTTCTTGGTTTACTGCAGGAAAATGAAACACTAAGAGATATCTGTTTGTTGGTATGGTGTGATCCTCTTCTTTCTAGAAATGTGTATTTTTTTTCCCAGGGTTGTTAACCTTGAAGCCAGCAGGTCTTGGCCAGCCTCCAATTTCACTGCAGATTCATGATCCACAGAAAAATAAAAAACATGGAGTCCAGCAGCCCAAGAAGAGGCACACAGAGAGGCCACCACAACTTTGGGAGACATAAAAAAAAAGAAGTGCTGCAATGCATTAGCCATATTTATTTAAGCAGACTCCACTTACCAGCACACACACACAAACACAAAATAGCACACACGCATGCATACATCCAACACTCACAACCCTCCCACTAAAACACACAGCCCAGTAGCTCCTGAGGCTGTGTGGTTTTGTAGGAAGCCCCATCTGAAAGACAGCAAGGAACAGAAGCAGGCTGTACCTAAAAATCACAGTAAGGCAAGTTTCAAAAAGACTCACACTTAAAACATCTAGGGAGGACTCAGGAATCCTGCAGATGCTTCTGGATCCTGAGGGGTTTCCCAGTTTATTCCTGGGCTCTGCTTGAGGTTTCTTCAGATTGGCTCAGGTCTGACCTCTCAGAGGATCACGCGACTAACTGATGAATCCCAAAGAGAAGACAGGTGAGAGTCCACAGCCGATGAACCTCCACAAAGGTCTCCTCTGCCAAGCTGCAGGGACTTGTCGCTAGGCAATGGTGACATTCATTGTGATGCCAGCCAGAGCTAACAGTCAAGCCTGATGTTCTGAGGCTAGCTCATGGACATTCTTGAGGCAAGATCTTGTGCCCGGCCTTAAGAGCTGTCAGCCTGCCTAGGCAGAGGAAAATGATACAGACAGAGCCAGCCAAGTTGGGAAAATGGATGCCTTTGAAAACCCATGGTGGACCTTAAAAGTATCAACCTCAGGGCCCATTCGGGCCATCTCCATATTTGGGTCACGCTGGAGGAGGAGGCATTTCAAGACAGTAAGATGGTCGCTGGAGACTGCTCTTCAAATTCCATTCCTAAATGAGAATGCGTGTATGCAAGAATCCAGTATAATGGGGATTGGAATACAGTTGGCAAGTTTCAAAAAGCCTCACCCCTACAACGTCTAGGAAGGTTTGAGGAATTTTGCAGACCTTTTGGTATCTTTAGGGATTTTGCAGTTTATTCCTGTGGCTCTGCTTGATGTTTCTTCTGTCTAGCTCACGTCTGTCCTCTCTTAGGATCATAGGACTATCTCGTGGATCTCACAGAGAAAAGAGGTGAGAGTCTGCTGCTGACACACCTCCACAGAGGTCTCTTTCTCCACCAAGCCACAGGGACTTGTGGTTAGGCAAAGGTGACATTCATTTTGAAGCTAGCCAGAGTTCACAATCAGGCCTGATGCCCTGAGACTATCATATGTGCATTTGTGAAGCAGACTGGGGTGCCAGACTATCAGCGTCCTCAGCCCACCTAATGGCACAGGCAGGGCTGGCCAGGTATCCAGAAAAAGGCTGCCTGTGAAAACCCACTGTGAGACCCTAAAAGTCTCGACCTCAAAGTTTCTTCTTGCCATCTGCATGGTTGGGTCCCACTGGAGGAAGAGGCATTTCCAGACTGTGAGTTAGTTGGTGGAAACTGTTCTTCTAACTTCATTCCCAAAAGAGGCTGTGTGCAAGAATCAAGTCACTTGGGTATTGGAATATACTCTGGTGTATTGTTGAGGGTTCTTTGGGGGAAAGAATCATACCTGAGACTCCAGAGGTCGGTGTCAGTGAAAGATGGCTGGACTCTAGATCTCAGTGCCTCCCTTCATCCTGGGCCTCACAGGGCTCTCTGGGACAGACAGGAACCATGACAAAGGAAAGTGCATGAAGCAGCAGTGTTCTTGCACCTTGGACCTTCCACTCATGGGTGCAGGTGAGGATCAGTCAGTGTCTCAGAGGCTGTCTGTGGTGATGGCAAGCCTGAAAAGGGTGTCTAGTACCACTATTTAGGGTCACTGTGGATTCCACCATGAAACAAAACAAAACAAAACAAAATTCATGGCTCACATGACAGAATGAGCTCCCTCATGCTGAAGTTTAAGCAATGTTCAATGATTCTTGTCAGAGGGCCCAAAAGCCTCCTGCAAAGTGAAAAAACCTCAGTCCCCACAATGAGACAATTACCCACAACCTGGAAGACAGTCAGTTTACCCGAAGTCCCTTTTGCTGTGTGAAGTCCTTGGCAGCTAAATAATTTGTGATGAGAGGCAGTCCCATCCAGCAACGTCCAAATGAAGAGTCCCACACAATGAAAAGGTTATGCAGATGAAATAAAACTGAGGCTAGATTACCAAGCAAATCCAGACACAGCTGTCCGCTTCTCATCCTCCAGGAATCATGTGGCATTCCAATAGAAGTGGGAGAACAAGACTTTCCCTTTTGGTGGCAGTGATGGGAATTTACTGTTTTAAAAGTACCAAAGCTGCAGTTATTAAAACATGAGAGTGTTTAGAATGAAACATTCATGCAACGGATTTCCATGAGGGTCATTCTCCATGAACAGAGAACCATTTAGTGTGGAACTCGTTAAGCCAGACCCAGGAAACCCTAGGCTGATGAGGAACATAAAAGTCAAAAAAGAAAAGGCAAGTGTGGAGGCCACATCCTACCCAACATCAATCCATTACACTCCCCATTTTGCTCTGGGTATGAAAGCCCTCAAATCTGGAGTTGGCCAGGATGGTCTCAATTGGCACTCCGAATGTTTCTTGTCTATTGGAGTACTCTTATCTGAGCACCAGGCAATGGCGTTCACTGCTTGTGAAATATATGGAATGAGGGGATATATTTGGAAGCACCTTCTGTGTCATCTGTCTTCATGTTTTTTGCAGGTGAAGTTGTGGGACACCATCACCCCTCACCAGATTGTGTCCTCTCCCCATCTGACCCTATTGCTGTTCACACTCCATGTCCCAGGACAAAATCACAAGATGATGGAGGTCTTCCCTCTCATGATATGAAGCACCTACTCAGCAGGGAACCAAATTTGAGGTAAATTCAATGGGCCCTTTGGACAGGACTACTAGTGTCTCCCCCTGGTTTGGCCAAAAGACAATGAAACTCTAGGAGATGCCTATTTTTTTTTTATGTGTTGTGCCCCTGTTCTATCAAGAAAAGATGCTTTCTTGCAGGGGGAGGTGATTTGGATGCCAGCGTGTCTCTGCCCACCTCCCAATTCACTGCGGATTCATGATCCACAGCATAATAAAGAACATAGATCTCTGCAGCCCAATCAGAGCCACCCAGACATACCACCAAAAGTGAGGAGACTAAAAAAAAATTCACTGAAGTGTGTTAGCCACCTTCTTTTAAGCAGACTCCACACACAATGCACACACACATACACACATAATGTCACACACAAAAACACAGAAATCTGATACTCACAATACTTACACAGAAACACACAGCCCAGCAGCTCCTGAGGTTGCATGGTTTTGTAGGAAGCTCTGCCTGGGAGAGAGAAACACCAGCTGGACTATACCTAGAAATCACAGTAGGGCTAGTTTCAAAAAGACTCACCCCTATGTCTAGTCAGGACTGAGGAATCCTGCAGATCTTTTCAGATCCTCAGGGATTTCATGGTTTATTCCTGGGGCTGTGCTTGATGTTTCTTCAGACTGGCTCATGTCTGCCCTCACCTTGGATCATGGGACTATGTGGTTGATTCCACAGAGAAGACAGGTGACAGTCCACCACCTACACACCTCCACAGAGGTATCTTTCTCCACCAAGCTTCAGAGACTTTTTGCTTGGCAATGGTGACATTCATTGGGAAGTTAACCAGAGCTCACAATCATGCCTGGTGCTTTTAGACTACTGCCTGCACATTCCTGCAGCAGGCTTAGATGCCCAGATGTCAGAGCTCTCAATCAGCTTAAACAGAAGTAAATTGTACACGCAGAGCTGGCCAGGTATTGGGAAAAAGAATGCATGTGAAAACCCACTTTGGGACTGTAAAAGTCTAGACCTCAGGGTCCCTTCAAGGCATCTCCATGGACAGGTACCGCTGGAGGAAGAGGTGTTTTAAGACTGTGAGGTGGTCACTGGAAACTGATCTTCTGGCTCCATTCCAGAAAGAGGCTGTGTGCAAGAATCGGGTCCCATGGGGTTTGGAATATTGTCTGGTGTATTGTTGAGGGTTCATAGGGTGATGGAATCATACCTGAGACCCCCAAGTTTGGTGTCAATGAATGATGGCCAGGCTCTTGACCTCACCACCTCCCTTCATCCTGGGCCTTGCAGGGGTTGTCCCCAAAAGGCAGGAACCATGACAAAGGCAAGTCCAAGGTGGTGCAGTGTCCTGACACCTCTGTCTGGCCTCTCATGGTTGCAGGTGAAGTTAAGAGAGTATCTCAGAGGCTATCTGTGCTGATGGCAAGCCTGAAAATGGTGTCAGGTAGTGCTGTGGAGGGGCATTGTGGATTCCCCATGAAAGCAAAGAAAAATCAAAGCTCACCTGAGAACAAGCTGCCTTGTGCTGAAGTTTAAGCAATGTTCAATGATCCTTCTCAGAGGACTCAAAAGCCCCAGTCAAAGTGCAAACGATGTCAGCCCCCACAATGAGAAAATGACCCACAATCTGAAGACCAGCCAACCTACCTGAAGTCCCTTTTGCTCTTCAAAATTCCTGACAGCTACTTAATCTGTAGCAAGAGGCAGTCTCATCCAGCAACAGCCCAAATGAAAGAGCCCTCCCACTATGAGAAGGCCCTGCAGCTAGAATGAAGCTGAGTCTGGATTATCAAGCATAAGCCAGACATGGTGGCCTGCTTCTCATCCTACAGGAATCATGTAGACCTCCGACAGAAGTGGGAGAAAAAGAGTTTCCTTGTTGGTGCCTGTCACTGGAATTTACAGTTTTAAAAGTATCAAATCTGCCCAGTGATTAAAACGTGAATGTTTAGAAGGAAAATATGCAAAGGATTCCCATGAGGGTCTTTCTCTGTGAATGTTTAGTGTGGAAGTCTTTGAGCCAGATCCAGGGATCCTTAAGCCAAGTAGTAACATGGAACTCAGGAAAACAAGAGGCATGCATGGAGGCCACATCCCACCCAGCATCAATATATTCAACTTCCATTTGACTCTGGGCATGAAAGCCCTCAAATCAGGAGCTTGCCGGCATGGCTCCTATTTGCACTCCAAATGTTCCTTGCACGTTGGAGTACTCTGACCTGAATACAGTACTCTGACCTGTTTATTGCAGTTGAAGTCGGGGCACCCCATCCTGCCCTCATCAGATTGTATCATTACCCCTTTCTGACCTAATTGCTGCTCATACTCTATGTCTCAGGATGAAATCCCAAGACCTTGGAAGGGTATCCCTTGAAATGTGAATCACCTGCTCTGCTGGGAACCAAATCTGAGGTAAATTCATGGGCCCTGCAGACAGGACTGCAGGGGCTCTCCCTGGTTTGGCTGCAGGACAATGAAACAATAGAAGATAACTTTTTTTTTTTTTTTTGGTGTGGTGTCCTCTTCTTCTTTCTAGAAGAGTGGCCTATTCTGTAGGAGGAAGTGATTTGGACACTGTCCGTGTCTTGGCACATATCCCAATTCACTGTTGCTTCATGATCCATAAAAGAATAAAGAACATGGAGCCCCACAGCCCAAGCAGAGCCACACAGACATGCCACCAAAAAGACTTGGCAACTGAAAAAAAAAAGAAGTGCTGAAGTGCATTAGCCACATTCCTTTGGGCAGACTCCACTTACAGGCACACACACAAACACACACACACACAATGCCACACACACACCCTGACATCCAACTTGCAACACTCCCACAGAAACAAACAGCCAGCCAGCTTCTGAGGCTGTGCGGTTTTGCAGGAAGCCTCTCATTGGAGAGAGCAACCTCAGGGAACACAGGTGGGCTGCACGTAGACATCACAGTGGGGCAAGTTTAAAAAAGACTCACCCCTAAAACGTCAAGGCAGAACAGAGCCATCCTGCAGGTCCCTTTGGATCTTTATGGTTTTTGTCGTTTATTTCTGACGCTGTGCTTGACACTTCCTCAGGCAGGCTCACGTCTGCCCTCTCCTAGGATCATGAGACTATCCTGCATATCCCACAGATAATACAGGCAAGAGTCTGCAGCTGAAGTGGCTTCAAAGAGGTCTCCTTCTCTGCCAAACAGCAGGGACTAGTTATTAGGCAACACTGACATTCATTGTGAGGCTAATCAGAGCTCACAATCAGGCCTAGTGCCCTGAAACTAGTGCATGCACATTCCTGAGGAAGGCTCAGGTGCCCCTTTGTCAGAGCTGTCAGCCTGCCTAAGCAGAAGAAAATGATACAGACAGAGCTGGCCTAGTATTGGGAGAAAATGATGAATGTGAAAATCCACTGTGGGAACCTAAAAGTCTCCACTTCAGGGCTCCTTTGGGCCATCTTCGTGGTCATGTTCCACTGGAGGAGAAGGCATTTCGAGACTATGAGCTGGTCGATGGAAACTGCCCTTTTAACTCCTTTCGTGAAAGAGGCTGTGTGCAACAGCCCGGTCCCATGGGGATTGGAATACCGTCTGCTGTGTTCCTGAGAGATCTTTGGGTAATAGAATCATACCTGAGAACCCAGATGTGGGTGTCAGTGAAAGATGCCTGAGCTACTCACCTTACTCCCTCCCTTCATCTGGAGCCTCCCAGAAGCTCTCTGGGAAAGGGAGTAACCATGACAAAGGCAAGTCCAAGATGGAGCAGTGTTCTCACACCTCCAGCTGGCCTCTCACGGGTACAAATGAGGTAGAGACAGTATCTCAGTGTCTTGTCTGTGGTGATGGCAAGCCTGAAATGGGCATCCAGTAGTGCTGTTGAGGGGCACTTTGCTTCCCCATGAAAGCAAAGAAAAATCAAGGTTTGCCAGAGAGTACGAGCTGCTTTGTGCTGGAGTTCAAGCAATGTTTAATGATTCCTATCAGAGGACCCAAAAGCCTCCTGAAAAGTGCAAACAACCTCAGCCCCCATAATGAGACAACCACCTGCAACCCAAAGTGCAGCCAGCCTACACAAAGTCCCTTTTTCTCTCTGAAATCCGTGGCAGCTAAATAATCTATGGTGAGAAGGAGTCCCATCCAGCAACAGACCTATTAAAGAGCCACTCCACTGTGAGGAGCCCATGCAGATGAAATTAAACAGAGGCCAGATTACCAGGCAAAGGCCAGTCATGGCTGCCTGCTTCTCATCTTACAGGAACCATGCAGCCCTCTGATAGAAGTGGGAGAACAAGAGTTTCCTTGTTGGTGCCTGTAATTGGAATTTACAGTTTTAAAACTATCAAAGCTGCCAGTCATTAAAATATTGCAGTGTTTAGAAGGAAACTCTCAGGTAATGAATTCCCATGAAGGTTGTTCTTTGTGAACTGGGAAACGTTTTGTGTGGAAGTCATTGACCCAGACCCAGGAAACCCTCGGCTGATGAGGAACATGGAAATCAGAAAAGCAAGAGGCAATCATGGAGGCTCATCTTACCCAGCATCCATCCATTTCACTCCCATTTGGCTCCAGGTATGAAAGCACTCAAATCAGGAGTTTGCCAGCATGGCCCCCATTTGTACTTCAAAATGTTCCTTGTACATTGGAGTACTTTCATCTGAAAACTGGGCCATGGTGTGGACAGCTTGTGCAATTAAGGGAATGTGGAAGCACCTGCTGTGTCATCTGTCTTCACTTTTTTTGCAGGTGAAGTTGTGGGACCCAATACACTTCTCAGCAGATTGTGTCCTCACTCCTATCTGACCTTCTTGCTGGTCACACTCTATCTCCCAGGATAAAAACAAAAGATGAGGGAGGAGTGCCCCCTCATGACATGCAGCACATGCTTGCCTGGGACCTAAATTTGAGAAAAATTCAAGGGGCCCTACAGACAGGACTTCTATTTTCTCTTAGTTGCCTGCAGACAATGAAACACTCAGAAATGTCTGCTCTTTGGTGTGCTGTGATCCTCTTTTTTTCTAGAAGGGTGGCTTTTTTGCCACTTCTAGAAGCGACAACGTGTGTTAGACAATTCCTTTAAACTGACTCCACTGATAGGCACATACAAACACCCACACAATGCATAAGGCAGTCCCTTCCAGCAACAACCCAATGATAGAGAACGTCCAAAATGATAAGGCCACACAGATGAAATGAAACTGAATCTAGATTACCAAGCAAAAGACAGACATGGCTGCCTGCTTCTCATCCCACAGGAAACATGTAGCCCCCTGATAGAAGTAGAAGAACAAGAGTTTCTTTGTTGGCAGCTGCAAGGGGAATTTACACTTTTAAATGTATCAAAGCTGCCCAATCATTAAAATGTGATAACTTTTAGAAGGAAACACTCACACAATGGATTCCCGTAAGGGTCATACTGTGTGAACTGATAAACATTTAGTGTGCAAGTTGGAGTCAGACACAGGAAACCATAGGCTGAGGAGGAACATGGAAGTCAGTAAAAAATGAGGGAGGTGTGGAGGCCACATGCCACCCAGCATCAATAATTCCACTCCCATTTTGCTCCAGGTATGAAAGCACTCATATCAGGAGTTTGACAGGATGGCCCCAATTTGCACTCTAAATGTTTCTTACATGTTGAAATACTCCCAATTGTTCACTGGGTCATGGTGTGGTCTGCTTGTGCAATTAAGGGAATGCTGGGTTGGAGTTGGAAGCACTTTCTGTGTCATCAGTTTTCTCTCTCTTTTTTTTTTTTTTTTTTTTTTTTTTGCTGGTGAACTTGCAGAACCCCATCCACCCCTCAGCAGACTGTATCCTCACCCCAATCTGACCTTATTGCAGCTCATACCCTATGTCCCAGAATGAAATCACAAGACTATGGAGGAATCCCCCTCATGACATGAAACTACTGCTTGGCAGTGAGCAGAATTCGAGGTAAATTCAACAGGCCCTGTAGACAGGACTGTTAGTGTCTCTCCCTAGTTTGGCTGCAGGACAATGAAACACTGGGAGATGCCTGTTTTCTGGTGTGGTGTACTTCACTTCTTTCTGGAAGAACAGCTGTTTTTACAGGGGGAGGGGATTTGGATGCCAGCAGGTCTCGGCCTACCTCCCTATTCACTGCAGACTAATGATCCACAGGAAAGTAAAGAACACGGAGCCCCACAGCTGAAGCAAAGTCACACAGACAGGCTGCAAAAAGGTTGGGTGACTCAAAGAAAACAAACAAACAAACAAAAAAAAAACAGAAGCGCCGAACTACATTAGCCACATTCCTTTAAGCAGGCTCCAGTTACAGGCAAACACGTACACACCACACACACTTAAACACACACACACAGACATCCAGCACTCACAACACTGCCACAGAAACACACAGCCTGGGAGCTCGTGAGTTTGCTTAGTTCTGCAGGAAGACCCACCTGGGAAAAAACAGTCCTGGGGAAGACAGGCAGGCAGTACCTAGAAATCACAGTGAGGCAAGTTTCAAAATGACTCACCCCTGCAAAATCTAGGCAGACGTGAAGAATAATTCAGATCTTTTTGAACATTCGGGACTTTGCAATTTATTCCTGGGCTCTGCTTGAGGTTTCTTCAGGCTGGCTTATGCCTGCCTTCTCCTAGTATTATGAAACTATCCCATGAATTTCACAGAGAAGACAGGCAAGTGTCCACCACTGAAGCATATCCACGGAGGCCTCTTTCTTCTGCAAGCCTCAGAGAAGTGTCGCTAGGCAACAGTGATATTCACTGTGACATTAGCCAAAGCTCACAATCAGGCCTGGTGCCCTGAGACTAGTTCATGCACATTCGTGAAGCAGGCTCAGACACCCAGCAGAGGAAAATCGTACTGGTAGAGCCAGCCTGGTATCAGGAAAAAGGCTGCCTGCAAAAACCGACCTTGGGATCATAAAAATCTCGACCTCAGGGCCCCTTTGGGGCATCTCCGTGGTTGGGCCCAGCTGGAGGAAGAGGCATTTCTAGAATGACAGATGGTCACTGGAAACTGCTCTTTTTGGCTCCATTCCAGCAAGAGGCTGTGTGCTAGTTATGGGGCCCACAGGCATTGGAATATATTCTGGTGTGTTGTTGAGGGTTCTTTGGGTGATAGAATCACACCTGAGACCCCAGAGGCAGGTGCCAGTGAAAGATGGCCAATCTCTGTACCTCACCGCCTCCCTTCATCCTGGGACTCACAGGAGCTCACTGGAATAGGCAGGAATCCCAATAAAGGCAACTGCAAGGTGGAACAGTGTCCTCACACCTCAGAATGGCCTCTCATGGGTGCAGATGAAGCTGAGACAGTGTCTCAGAAGCCATCGGTGGCAATGGCAAGCCAGAAAAGTGTGTCCAATAGTGCTGTTTAGAGACACTGTGGATTCCTCCTGAATGCAAAAAATAAATAAGTAAAGGCTCTCCTGAGAAAACGAGCTGCCTTATGCTGGATTTTAAGTATTATTCAATGATTCCTGTCAGAGGACGCAAAAGCCTCCTGCAAAGTGCAAACAACCTCAGCCACCACAATGAGACAATGACCCACAACCTGGAGCACAGCCAGCCAACCCAAAGTCCCTTTTGCTCTCTGATATCTGTGACAGCTATATAATCTGTGGCACACTGCAGTCCCATCCAGCACCAGCCCAGTGAAAGTGCCCCTCAACTATAAGAAGACCATGCAGATGAAATGAAACAGAGGCTAGGCTGTCAGGCAAAAGCTAGACAGTGCTGCCTGCTTCCCATTCTACAGGAATCATGCAGCCCTCCGATAGAAGTGGGGAAATAAGTATTTCCTTAATGGCACCTGTAATGGGAATTTACTATTTTAAAAGTATCAAAGCTGCCCAGTCATTAAAATGTGAGTGTTTAGAAGGAAACATTCATGCAATGGATTCCCATGAGGAGCACTCTTTGTGAACTGGGTAATGTTTAGTATGGAAGTCATTAAGTCAGAGCCAGGTAACCCTAAGCTGACTAGTAACATGTAAGTCAGGAAAGAAGAGTCATGTGTGGAGGCCACATCCCACCTAGTATCAATGCATTCAACTTCCATTTGGCTCCAGGTATGAAAGCCCTCAAATTGGGATTTAGCCAGCATGGCCCCTATTTGCACTCCAAATGTCCTTTGCAAGTTGGAGTACCCCCACCTGGACACGAGGCCATGGTGTGGACTGCTAGTGCAATTAACGGAATGAGGAGATGGAGTTGGAAACTCTTCTGTCATCTGTCTTCATTTTTATTGCAGTTGAAGTTTCATGACCCCGTCCACCCCTCACCAGATTGTATCCTTACCCATTTTTGACCTCATTGCTGCTCAAACTCTGTGTCCGAAGAGGAAATCCCAAGATGTTGGAGGAGTTTTCTTTATGATGTGAATCACCTGCTCATCTGGGAAATGAATTCCATGTAAATTCAAGGGGACCTGAGGAGAGGACTGCAGGGACTCTCCCTGGTTTGGCCACAGAACACTGAAACACTAGGAGATGCCTGTTTTTTGGTGTGGTGTGCTCCTCTTCTTTCTAGAAGAGTGCCTTTTCTTGCAGGGTGGTGTTGATTTGGAAGCTGTCATCTCTTGGCACATCTCCCAATTCATTGTGGCTTCATAATCCACAGAAAAATAAAGAACACAGGATCCCACAGCCCAAGCAGATCCACACAGACACACCACCAACAGACTTGGAGACTCAAAAAAAGAAGTGCTGAAGTGCATTAGCCAAATTCCTGTAAGCAGACTCCACTTACATACACACACACACACACACACACACACACACACACACACACACACAAAATGTTGAACACCCATGCAGCCATCCAACATTCACAACATTCCCACAGAAACACAGGCTGGCAGATCCTCAGGTGGTATGGTTTTGCAGAAGTCCCATATTGGAGACAGCAACCCTGAAGAACACAGGTGGGCTGTACCCATATATCGCAGTTGGGCCAGTTCTGAAAAGACCCACCCCTACAACATCTAGGCAGGACTGAGGAATCCTACAGATCCCTTTGGATCCTTAAGGTTTTTGTGGATTATTCCTGGGGCTGTGCTTGATGTTTCTTCATGCTAGCTCACCTCTGCCTTCTACTTGAATCATGGGACTATCCTGTGTAACACAGAGAGAAGACAGGTGAAAGTCCACTGCCGAAGCACCTTCAAGGACGTCTCCTTATCTGCCAAGCCACAGGAACTTGTCCCTAGGCAATGGCGATATTCACTGTGAGGCTAGCCAGAGCTCACAATCAGGCCTGGTACCCTGGGACAGGCATATGCACATTCATGAGGCAGGCTCAGGTGTCCATCTGCAGGAGCTGTCAACCTGCCTAAACAGAAGAAAATTGTACAGGCAGAGCCAGTCTGGTTTCAGGAATTATGATACCTGCAAAAAACCACTGTGGGACCTTAAAGTCTCCACTTTAGGGCCCCTTCAGCTTGTCTCCGTGGTCAGGTTCCACTGGAGGATAAGGCATTTTCAGACTGTGTGGTGGTCGATGGAAACAGCTCTTGTGAGTCCATTAACAAAAGAGGCTGTGTGCAAGAATCAGGTCCTATGGGGTCTAGAATACAGTCTCGTGTGTTCTTGAGGGATCTTTGGATGATTGATAGGTTCATACCTGAGACCCCAGAGGTGGGTGTCAGCAAAAGATGGCCAGGATCCTCACCCCACTGCTACCCTTCATCAGGGGCCTCACAGGGGCTCTCTGAAAAAGGCAGGAACCATGACAAAGGCAAGTCCAAGGTGGAGCAGTGTTGTCACTCCTCAGACTTGCCTCTCATGGGTGCAGATGAGGTTGATACACTGTCTCAGAGGCTGTCTGTGGTGAGAGCAAGCCTGAAAAGTGTATCCAGTAGTGCTGTTGAGGAGCACTGTGGATTCCCCTTGAAAGAAAAGAAAAATGAAAAAATTAAGGCTGCCCTGAGAGAATAAGTTGCCTTGTGCTGGAGTCCAAGCAATGTTCAATGATTCCTGTCAGAGGAACCAAAACCTTCCTGCAAAGTGCAAATAATATCAGCCCCTACAATGAAACAACAAACCACAACCTGGAGCACAGCCAGCATACACAAAGTCCCTTTTGCTGTCTGAAATCCGTAGCAGCTAAATAATCTGTGGTGACAGGCAGCACCATCCAGCAACACACCAATGAAAGAACCCCTCCACTATGAGAAGGCCATGCAGATGAAATGAAACAAAGGTTAGATTACCAGGCAGAAGCCAGACATGGCTGCCTGCTTCTCATCCTATAGGAACCATGCAGCCCTCTGATATAAGTGAGAGAACAACAGTTTCCTTGTTGGTGACTGTAACAGGAATTTACAATTTTAAAAATACCAAAGCTGCCCAGTCATTAAAATGTGACAGTGTTTAGAAGGAAACTCACACAATGGATTCCCATGAGGGTCATTTTTTGTGAACTGGGAAACATTTAGTGTGGAAGTCGTTGAGCCAGACCCAGGAAACCCTAGGCCAACGAAGATAATGGAAGTCAGGAAAAGAAGAGGCAAGTGTGGAGGCCACATCCCCCCAGCCCAGCATCAATCTATTTCACTCTCATTTGGCTCCAGGTATCAAAGCCCTCAAATCAGGAGTTTGCTGTGATGGCCCTTATTTGCACTCCAAATGTTCCTTGCACGTTGGAGTACTTTCACCTGAACACCAGCCCATGGTGTGAACAGCTTGTGCAATTAAGGTGTTGCAGGGAAGGGGTTGGAAGCACCTGCTGTGTCATCTGTCTTCAATTTTTTTGCAGGTGACTTTGTGGGAATGCATTAACTTCTCAGCAAATTGTATCCTCACTCCAATCTGACTTTCTTGCTGCTCACACCCTATATCCCGTGATGAAAATGCAAGACTATGGAGGAGTGCCCCCTCACAACTTGAAGCACCTGCTCAACTGGGACCTGAATTTGTGGTAAATTCAAAGAACCCCTTAGATAGGACTGCTAGTGTCTCTCCCTGAGTTGGTCACAGGACACTGAAACATTCAGAAATGTATATTTTTTGGTGTGGTGTGCTCCTATTATTTCTAGAAGACTGGGATTTTTTGCAGGGGAAGGTGATTTGTGTGCTAGTCGGTCTCAGCCTGCCTTTCAATTCACTGCAGATTCTGATCCACAGAAAAATAAAGAACACTGAGTCCCACTGCCAAAGCAGAGTAACACATACAGGCCACCAAAAGGTTTGGAGACTCAATAAAAAGAAGTGCTAATGTGCATTAGACAAATTCCTTTAAGCTGACCCTAGTTATAGTCACACACACACACACAATGCCACACACACATGCAGACATCTAACACTCGCAACACTCCAACAGAAACACAGAGCCTGACAGCTCCTGAGGCTGCTTGGTTCTGCAGGAAGCCACACCTGGCATAGAGTAATCCCAGGGAACACAGGTGGAAGGCACCTGGAAATCACAGTGGGGCAAGTTTCAAAAAGACTCACCCCTCCAATGTCTAGGCAGACTTGAGGAATCCTGCATATCCTTTTAGATCCTTAGGGATTTCGTGGTGTATTCCTGGAGCTCTACTTGATGATTCTTTTGGCTGACTCATGTCTGCCCGCTCCTGGGATCATGGGACTATCCCATGGATCCTACAGAACAGACAGGTGAGTGTCCACCACTGACACATCTCCACGGAGGTCTCTTTCTTCATCAAGGCACAGAGGCTTGTCACTAGGCAATAGTGACCTTCATTGTGACTAGCCAGAGCTCACAATCAAGCCTAGTACCCTGAAACTAGTGCATGCGCATTCATGAGGAAGGCTTGGGTGCCTGGCTGTCAGAGCTGCCAACCTGTCTAAGCAGAGGAAAATGGTACAGGCAGAGCTGGCCTGGTATCCAGAAACAGGCTGCCTGTGATAACCTACTGCAGGATGCTAAAATTCTCGACTTCGGGGCCCGTTCAGGCCATCTCCATGGTCAAGTCCCACTGGCAGGCCACTGGAATCTGCCCTTCTGACTCCATTCCTGAAACAGTCTGTGTGCAAGAATATTTTCCCATGGGGATTGGAATATAGTCTGGTATGTTGTTGAGGGTTTTTTGGGTGATAGAATCATACCTGAGACAGCAGAGGCTGGTGTTAGCAAAAAATGGCCATACTCTAGATGTCACTGCCTCCCTTTACCCTGGGCTTCACAGGGGCTCTCTCAGACAGGCAGAAACCACAGCAAACACAAGTCCAAAGTAGAGCAGTGTTCTCACACCTCAGACTGGCCTTTCACTTGTGCAGATGAGGTTGAGACAGTCTCTCAGAGGCCATCAGCATCTATGGCAAGCCTGAAGAAGGTGTCCAGCTGTGCTATTGAGGGGCACTGTGGATTTCCCATGAAAGCAAAGAAAAATTAAGGCTCAATTCAGAAAAAGAGATGCCTTATGCTGGAGTCCAAACAATGTTCAATGATTCCTGTTAGAGTACCCAAAAGCCTCCTGCAAACTGCAAACAACCTCAAGCCATGCAAAGAGACAATGATCCACAACCTGGAGCACAGACAGCCCACATTAAGTCCATTTTGGTCTCTGAAATTTCTGGCAACAAAATAATCTGTAGTGAGATCTCTCCCTCCCAATGATAGAGCTTCTCCACAATGAGAAGGTCAGGCAGATGAAATGAAACTAAGGCTACATTACCAGGACAAAGCCAGACATGGTTGCCAGCTTCTCATTCTATGGGAATCATGCAGCCCTCTGATGGAAGTGAAGAAACAAGCATTTTCTTGTGGTGGCTGGAATGGGAATTTACAATTTTAAAAGTATCAAAGCTGCCCAGTCATTAAAATGTGACAGGTTTTAGAAGAAAATACCCATGCAATGGATTACTATGAGGGTCATACTCCATGAACTGATAAACATTTAGTGTGGAAGTTGTTGAGCAAGAACCAGGAAACACTAGGCCAATGAGGAACATGGAAGTCAAAAAAATAAGAGGCAAGTGTGAAAGCAACATTCCACCCAGCATCAAGCCTTTCCACTTCCATTTGGCCCTAGGTATGAAAAAATTCAGATAGGGAGTTTGCCAAGATGGTCCCAATTTGCAGTCCAAATGTTCCTTGCACGTTGAAGTACGATGTGGACTGCTTGTACAATTAAGGGAATGCTGGGATGGAGTTGGAAGCACCTTCTGTGTCATCTGTCTTTTTTTTTCTTTTTTTTTTATTTGCAGATGAAGTTGCAGGACCCCATCCACTTCTCACCAGATTATATCCTCACCCCTATCTGACCTTATTGTGGCTCATACTTCTTGGCAATGAAAATAATTTGAAGTAAACTCAAGGGTAACCAAATGTTTGGGAGACTCAAAAAAAAAAAGAAGTACTGAAGTGCATTTGCCACATTCCTTTAAGAAGACTCCAGTTACAGGCAAACACACACACACTCACACCACACACACAGAAACTCACAATGCCACACACATAAGCAGTCATCCAACAGTCACAACAATTTCACAGAAACACACAGCTCTGTAGCTCCTGAGTTTTGTTGATTCTGCAGGAACACACACCTGGGAGATAGCAACCCCAGAGAACACAGTCAAGATGTACATAGAAATCACAGTGGGGCAAGTTTCAAAAAGACTCACCCCTACAACATCTTGGCAGACCTGAGAAGTCCTGCAGACATTTCTGATCATTAGGGATGTCATGGTTTATTGATTTATTACTGGGGCTCTGCTTGCAGTTTCTTCAGGCTGGCTCACATCTGCCCTCTCCTAGGATTATGCAACTATCCCATGTATCCCACAACGAAGACAGGTGAGAGTCCACTGCTAACGCACCTCCAGGGAGGTCTCCTTCTTTGGTAAGCCACAGGGACTTGTCCGTAGGCAATGGTGACATTCGTGGTGACACTAGCCAGAGCTCACAATCATGCCTGATGCCCTGAGACTGGAGCATGAGCATTCATGTGGCAAGATGGGACACCCAGCTGTAAGAGCTGTCAGCCTGTCTAAGCAGAAGAAAATGATACAGACAGAGCCAGCCTGGTTTCAGGAAAAAGGCTGCCTATGAAAACCCACTTTAAGACCATGAAAATCTCAACCTCAGGGCACCTTTGAGCCATCTCCATCATCAGGTACCACTGCAGGAAGAGGTATTTCATGACTGCAAGGTGTTTGTTAGAAACTGCCCTTCTGGCTCCATTCCCAAAAGAGTCCTTGTGCAGGAATCAGGTCCCATGGGTATTGGAATATAGTCTGGTGTGTTTTTGAGGATTCTTTGGGTGATTGAATTACACCTCAGACCCCAGAACTAGGTGTCAGTGAAAGATAGCTGGGCTCTGGACCTCACTGCCTCTCTTCACCCTGGGCCTCACAGGGGCTTTCTGGGAAAGGCAGAAACCATGACAAAGGCAAGTCCAAAGCAGAGCAGTGTTTCACACCTCGGACTGTCCTCTCATTGGTGCACATAAGGTTGAGACAGTGTCTCAGAGGCCATCTGTGGTGATGGCCAGCCTGAAAAGGGTGTCCAGTAGTCCAGAGGGGCACTGTGGATTCCCCATGAAAGAAAAGAACAATCAAGAGTTGCCTAAGAGAATGAGATACCTTTTGCTGGAGTTTAAGCAATGTTCAATGATTCTTGTCACAGAACACAAAATTCTCCTGCAAAGTGCAAGCAACCTCAGCCCTGAGAAGGAGACAATCACCCACAACCTGGAGCACAGCCAGCCTATCCGAAGTCGTTTCACTTTTTGAAATCCCTGACAGCTACATAATCTGTGCTGAGAGGCAGTCGCATCCAACAAAAGCCCAGTGAAATACTCCCTGCACAATGAGAAAGGACATGAAGAAGCAATGAAACACAGCCTAGATTACCAGGCAAAAGCCAGACACTCCGGCCTGCTTCTCATACCGCAGGAATCATGCTATCCTCTGATAGAAGTTGGAGAACAAAAATTTACCTGCTGGCATCTGTAATGGGAATCTATGGTTTTAGATGTATCAAAGCAGCCTGGTCATTAAAACATGACAGTGTTTAGAAGGAAACACTCACGCAAGGGATTCCCATGAGTGTCATCCTCCATGAACTGGGAAATATTTAGTGTGCAAGACATTCCCAGGAAACCCTAGACCGAAGAGGAACATGCAAGTCAGGAAAGGAAGAGGCAAATATGGAGACCACATCCCAACTGGGATCAATCCATCCCACTCTGGGAGTTTGCCATGATGTCCCCAGTTTTCTCTCAATATTACCTGCACATTGGAGTACTCCCAGATGAATGCGGGTCCATAGTGTAGACTGCTGGTATAATTAAGGGAATGCAGCAATGCAGTTGGAAGCAACTTCTGTGTCATCTGTCCTCACCTTTTTGCAGGTGAAGGTGTTGGACCCCATCAACCCCTCACCAGATTGTATCCTCACCCCTCACTTACCTTATTGCTGCTCACACTCTCTGCCAGAATGAAACCCCAAGAAAATGGAAGAGTGTCCCCTGATGACTTTAAGCTCTTGTTCAGCTGGGAACCAAATTTGAGGTAAATTCAAGGAGTCCTGAGGACAAGACTGCTAGTATTTCTCACCTTAGGTTGGCCATGGGACTACAAAACAGTGGGAGATATCAGTTCTTGGGATTCAATATCTACACTGCGGATTCAATATCTACAGAGAAATTAAGAACAGGGAGCCACACAGCCCAAGCAGAACCACACATACAGGTGACCAAAATGTTGGGTTCTTAAAAAAAAAAAAAAAAGAGAGAGAGGAGTGCTGCAATGCATTTACCACATTACTTTAGGCAGGTTCCACTTACAGGGACACACTCCCACACATACACCCACAGATACACAAGGCCACACATGCAAGCAGACACCCAATACTCGCAACACTCCCACAGAAACAAACAGCAAACCAGCTTCTGAGTCTGTGTAATTCTTCAGGAAGCCATACCTGGGAAAGATCAACCCCAGGGAACACAGGTGAGTTGTACCTAGTAATCATTTTGGGGCATATTTCAAAAAGAGTCACCCTTGTAACACCTAAGCAGTCCTCAGGCATCCTGAAGACTGCTTTGTATCCTTAGGGATTTCATGGTTCATTCCTGCAAATCTGCTTGATGTTTCTTCGGGCTGGCTCACATCTACCCTCTACTAGAGTCATGGGACTGTCACGCAGATCCCACAGAGAAGATAGGCGAGAGTCCATGGCTGATGCATCTCCACGGAGGTCTTATTCTCTGCCAAGCCACAGGGACTTGTCACTAGGCAATGGTGGCATTTATTGTGTCACTAGCCAGAGCTCACTGCTCAGGCCTGGTGCTTTGAGACTAGCTCATGAGCATTCATGAGGCAGGCTCAGGTGTGTGGCTGTCAGAACTGTCAGCCTGCCTAAGCAGAGGAAAATGGTACAGGCAGAGCCAGCCTGGTATTGAGAAAAAAAAATTGCCTGCAATAACCTACTTGAGCCCCTAAAAATCTCTACCTTATTGTTCCTTCGGGTCATCTTGGTGGTGGGGTCCTGGCGAAGGAGGAAGTATTTAGAGACTGTGAGATGGTCGCTGGAAACTGCTCTTCTGACTCCATTCCCAGAAGAGGCTGTGTGCAAGAATCAGGTCACATGGGGATTGGAAAAGGGTCCAGTGAGTTGTTGAGGGTTCTTTATGTGATGGAATCATAAATGAGACCCCAGAGATGGGTGTCTGTGAAAGATTGCTGGGTTCTTGACCTCACTGCCTCTCTTTACCCTGGGCCTCACAGGAGCTCTCCGGGATAGGCAGGAACCACTACAAAGTCAATTTCAAGGTGGAGCAGTGTTCCCTCACCTTGAACTGGCCTCGTGTGTGGGTAGATGAGTTTGTGACAGTGTCTCAGAGGCCATCTGTGGTGATTGCAAACCTGAAAATGGTGTCCAGTAGTGCTGTTGGCAGGCAATGTAGAACTCCATGAAAGCCAAGAAAAATCAGTGCTTACCTGAGAGAATGAGCTGCCTTGTGCTGGAGTACAAGCAATGTTCAATGAGTCTTGTCAGAGGACACAAAATTCTCTTGCAAAGTGCAAACATCCTCAGCCCCACAATGTGACCACAACCCACAACCTGAAGTTCAGCCAGTCTATCCGAAGTCTTTTTTACTTCTGAAATCCCTTGCTTCCAAAAGATCTGTAGTGAGAGACAGTCCCATCCAGCAACAGCCAATTGAAGGAGATCTATGACAATGAGAAAGGACGTGCAGAAGAAATGAAACAGAGCCTAGATTACCAGGCAAATGTTAGATGTGGTTGCCTGCTTCTCACTCCATAGGAGTCATGCCACCCTTTGATTGAAGTGGGAAAACAAGAGTTTACCTGTTGGTGGCTCTACAGGAATTTATGGTTTTTAAAGTATCAAAGCTGTCGAGTCATTAAAACCTGACAGTGTTTTGAAGAAAATACTCACACAATGGATTCCCATGAGGGTCATCCTTTGTGAACTAGGAAATGGTTAGTGTGGAAGACAGTGAGCCAGAACAAGGAAACCCTAATTTGATGAGGAACATGGAAGTCAGAAAAAAGGAGGCAACTCTGGAGGCCATATCTCACCCAGCATCAATCCATCCCACTCCCATTTGGCCCCATGTAAGAAAGCCCTCAAAGTGCAAAGCCCCAGTTTGCAGTCCATATGTTCATGGCACGTTGGAAAACTCCCACTTGAACACCGGGTCATGGTTTGCACTGCTTGTGCTCTTAAGGGAATGCGGGGATGCAATTGAAAGCAACTTCTGTGTCATCTGTCTTCACCTTCTTTTCAGGTGAAAGTGTGGGACACAATCCACACCTCACCAGACTGTATCCTCTACCCTATCTGACCTTATTTCTGCTCACACTTTCTGTTTCAGAATGAAATCCCAAGACACTGGAGTAGTGCCCCCTCAACTCACGACATTAAGCACCTGCTTGGCTGTTCTCATATATTGATTAATCATAATTATAGTTGTTTACATTCATTGTGAAACACAATGTTCCATATTTCTTCCTTCTTCTCCATCATTTATTTTCTTCTCAGATTAGTTATAGTTTTGTCAAATATATGAAATAAGGTAACACTGCAGTATTTCAGAAAGCACACTGCATTGGAAACAGACTCATATTGAAATGGGAAAACATCCCTTACTCCCCACAGCCAGGCAAGGAATGAGGACAGGTTGTGGGACTCCGACCACAGGCAGCATCTAGGGGTGAATGCTTACAGCTCCTGAATCCCTAGTGGGTATGTGTTACACGTTGTTAATTTAGTTTATCCATCTGTAAGCGGCTTATGTTAGCTCAATTAGACACCGTACTTTACTACAAAGACAGAGGGATTTCTGGATCCCAGGGTTTCCTGCCTTGGTGTACCTGAAGAATTGTCCTGTCTCACACTTGGGCTTGGAGAATAAGTGCAAGGTTTCATTGAGTGGAAGTTCTCAACAGATGGATGGGGAGCCAGAAGGGAGATGGAGTGGAAAGGTGGTTTTGATTTGGAATGAGGCAGCTCAGCACTGTCCTCCCACAGCCCCGCAGAACTCTGTGTTCTTCTGCAGTGGATGGCCCACCACCTCAGTCTTTGTGCTCTCCTTTCTCTGGTGTCCCCTCAAGGTCCAGTTGCTGTGTCTTGCTCTGCTGATGGTTCCTCTCAATGTCCAGCTGCTGTGTCTCTGCCTACTAGCATCTCAGGGTTTCTGATAGCACAGGATGGGGGTAAGTCAGGCCAGGTTGTTCTTGGAAAATGCAATGCTAAGGCAAAAAAAAAAAAAAAAAAAAAAAAAAAAAAAACAGAACCGCATGTCCTCACCAATTTGGGCAGGAAAACAGAAGTGCGTGTCCTCACCTAGGTCAGTGAGCACAGGCCTGAGTATGGAGGCCTAGCTAAGAGCCACACCTTCCTCTACCGGGCACTTTCCTGCCCCCATTCCATATCTATATATCTATATCTATATCTATATCTATATCTATATCTATCTATCTATATATATATATATATTTAATTTAAAACCAAAAATAGTATCAAAATCCTTTTGAGAAGACCACTGGAGAAAAAGGCATTAGAAGAGTCAGCCTAGGATTAGGGTCACTACACAGAAAATTGAATCACAGAGTATGTCCTGCAGGCCATGGAATCACTGCAGAAACATATCCCCTACTGAGAAGGAGAGGGAAACAAACTATATTCTCTCATCTTTTTGTTCTCTAATCTCTGCAGTGGCACTCCTTGACTGAGCTGAAACAGGAAGTAATTTTTATAGGAGACTAGGAACCATATCTCCCAAGGGCCATGCCTCTCTATTACAGAACAGTGCCAGAGAGAGGTGACTGATGTATCTCTGGGCATACAAACCCAGGACCTCACACAAAGGACTATCAGAGACAATTATAGTATCAAGGGATCAAGAGAGAAGTAGTCTGAGAAACGACTCATGCGTGATATTTGTGAAAAGACCAAAACATAAAACAGAGCTTATGAGGTAGTAAACATAACAAGAACTTACAGAAAAGCAGGCAAAATTGTAAAGTCCAGGCTATTTACCTTTCCTTTATAGGATTTTGAAATCCTCTTCCAGAATCCTTTTCCCAATAACTTCCATTCATGGATTCATTCATGAAATATTTATTGAGCTAGTATGGTCTAAGAATTGGGCCAAATGCATCATATGCTCTGTTAGAACTTCTGTCATTGATAGAAAGAATGTTTCTTTTTTTCTACCATGTTTTTCTCCAAACATTCTTGCAAATTCATATCCTTACAGATGTGGTAAATTGTTCTTGCCCTAAGAAGGTTCCCCAAACCCCTGTAAACCCAGTTAAGAATTTCCTTCCTCTCCAACTAAGTTACTAAATTGCATATATTGTAACACTTGTCAGAGTACATTGCAATTATTGCTCTTCTCTTCATCCTCCAATTAAACTATGAATATTTTGAAAGAAAAGCCTATAAACACAATGGCTTGACATTTGTCAATATTTATTGCACAAAAGTTATTAGATATTTACATATAATATTCTAATGTATTTGTCCTAATTTTTGGAAAACAATATAAACAATGTTCACTGACTGTTCCCAATGAACTGCTCAACTTTAAACAATGTCTATGCATTTAGAGCAGTCATACACACTTCCAAAAAATGCCTGAAAGTGTTTTTATTTTAATTTAATATGTTTTTTATATTGAATTATTTTGTAGAGGCAAAGTGTTGCCACGTGGCTCAGGCTGAAATGCAGGGTGCAATCACAGCTAACTTCAACCTTGAACTCCTGAGTAAACAGTACAATAGATGTGTGACATCATGCTCAATTTAATTAATTAAATAATTAATTTCATTTTAGAGATAGCTGTTACTATGTTTCCTGTTCTGGTGTCAAAATCTGGGTTTGAAGCTGTCCTCCCTACTCAGTTTCCTGAAGGGCTGAAATTCCAGACATGAATGACCAGACCTCAAAGAGGAAATTTTAGATTTTAGAATATTGTAATATGTTAGACTTAATTTCTTCTTTCAATTTTGCATTTGCAGTGGCACTTGAGAATAATTATTTCTTATGTTGAGAGTGTGATTTCTCATACTTGGCCAACAAATTTTGAAATACTTATTCTGTTTACTTAAGCCCTAATAAATCGTAGTCAACTCAGCTAAGAATAGAGTACATAGATGTTTTTGTGTTGGGGCCGGAAAACAAATGTAGAGAGATATTAAGAACCAAAGACTTTTTTATGTATATCCTAAAGCTTTATGCTTGCAAGTGACATATCATACATGGAATGGATAGTTTTATACAATACCCTGAAATACATACTACAGTAACCAATTTAGCACTTGCAATTTCCCAACTTTGTTTTCATCAGAAGTTAATGATGTATGGCACTTCTAGTAAGTAAATGAATGTTTGAGTTGCTGTGAGTTATTTTAGTCATTGCTCAGCTAATCATTTATCAAAGATCTTTACATGTGCAATATCATAAATGATGGACATTAAAAATTAACAGGATTTATCTAACGAAAAGCTGCTATCTAATGTGGTATTTTTCAGTAAGATGACAGCAGTAATTATCCCAAAAAATAGTTATTCCAGTAGTTTGAGCCATTTTAACAATTTCCAACCAAAGATTACACAGTCAGTTTCCAGATCTTGGCAACAGTAATTAACGTAATGGCTATTAATGAGAAGAGATTTTGATACATCCAACTGTCTTTGGATGTCAGTGCCTTGAAGGGATGAGTTTGGCATATTAATAAGAAAAGGTGCATTGCACTGGATACTAAGAAATGTACTGCATTGTTTTTCTTATCTTCTATAAAAATGAAAGGTCAATTGGAGATACAGAAACAATGGAACATTCCACCACACGGCCTGACATTTCATTATACTTTGATTTTTTTAAACATGTACAAAGGTCATTAAATATGCAAAGGTAGGACTGTTATAGGATGAAAGTGTTGGAGTCAGAGGTCACAATCCACAGCAAAGTGATAATCTTTTGTGGGTGGCTCCCTGAGCGCTGAATTAGAGTGAGAATCAACTTTCAGGCTGCTAACAGAGTACAAGGAGAATGAAGCTATCAACAGTTGACCTTATTGGATTAATTGAAATGAATGTTGACAGAGAGTGTGTTGGCTTTATATGAAATTGAGTATAGTACTTCAAATTGAGAATTTGATGAGGGTAAACTCTTACCAAATTTCCTATATGTAAAATTGAGAATTAAAAGATTACACAAACCATATATTATGGGCATCTCATATAAATTTATATACACATGTGCAAACTTGCAGCGTACAAATATTTGTCTATATCTAAATATATCCAAATCCATTGAAGAACAGTTAGAAATTTAGAAATTATTCTCCTGTTTTACCACTCCCCTTCCTAGAATTTTGTCACAAATATAATTTTTCCATCTGTTTGAAGCCTACTGTCTGGAGGCAGGTAATGTATGGATACAGTAAAGCCATGAAATATCACAGGGTTTGTATCAGAGAAAATAATAACACTGGTGTTATAAAAGATCCACTATGAGGAGAAATTTATACTTCACAAGACTACAAATACGAAGTATTATTTCATTGAAAGATGGTATCAGTCAATACAATTTGTTTTTAATGTTTTATTTAAAATCCTTAATCTCAAAAGGACAATGATATTGCTAAAAAATAATGATTCAGAATTTCCTTTAATTTATTGATTATTTAAAATGTAAGTGAAATACTAAAAAGTATTATATAATGTAGTTTCATGAAGCATTTTCTATGATTTTGTAAAATTAATAGCTGCAATGGAATTTTTTGACACAGATAAATTTCTTTATATTATTTTATTGCTTATTATTGTACTTTCACTTTATTACTTGCTTGCATGTCATAACTGATAGAAATAAAAATATTTTTAGTTACACATATAGAAAGCATGGATTTTTGTTTATGTTTTCTAATTTAGAGAAAGTCACCAATAATTTTATCTATATAGGAAAATTCTGAAAAGCCCCACGTTCTTAACTTTATTGTCTTTTGAAGTTTCATATTTCAGTCTAGGTATGAGATCAAATTGACTGTGATTATTTTTTGATTTCACTATGACTACTGAGTTTCTGATATAGTGAGATATATATATATATATATATATATATATACAGTGACAACCTCCTTAACCAGGATGGACTCCACATCCTCAGCATACGATGTTGGCTGAAAGTGTTACTCCTGGTGCCCCAGCCACTGTTTCAAGGTGCAGAGAATGACCAGCAGACACCTGAGTCCTTGTCCTCCTGTCCAAGTAATATACATAGAATTAGTAAAAGAGTGGTACATTAGACCTCATGACATTTTTAAGGCTGACCTCTTTATGAGCATTTCATCCAGATACTTATGAGTTTATCTCATTTATTTTATTTATTTATAGCTCTCATTTCAAAATAAATTTTTGCTTGAGAGATATTTCAACATATAACCAAATGTTTGGAGCTATGACATACAGGTTTCAAGCTTGAAAGTCTGTATCTGCTATTATGTGGGGTAAAAGCTATCCATCACTTATAAAAATAAGTAATTTTTAGTCATGGCCAATGTAGTGGTCTAAAACACACTTTGAAATTCTTTGCAAACCCATTTGAAAATATTCCTGATGCGACTGAACACAGTACTTGCTTCTAAGGAACAGAAAACAGGGCAAGCATTTTCTGGATACTGGGCCACCTCTGGCCTAAGTTAGAAAATGTGACACAGCTCTGCCTAAGTCTCTTGATCCCATGGGGACAAACCCCTCAGGAGCCCCAGACCAATATATCACAAAGTCTAACACCCTGATAACACTATGCAGAAAGAACAACCCATGGAGAGAATCATAAAACTAAAAGGAGATGCCTGAGGATCTCAGCAGTCCAGCCCTTACTATTTGAGTCATGCTAGCCATGACACCAGGGAGATGAGAAGACACCTGACAGTGTCCACATCCTGAGTCATGAAGAGATTGCACCCTCCTGAGTGTCCCTGAACCACAATCATTTGGCTGATAGACTGTGGAAGCTTGCAGACTGAGAGTAAACTATAATTATTGTTTTAAGTCACTAGGTTTTAGATAATTTTGAAAGGCAGTTTAGACTCCTAGAAAACCTGAGTTGTGTACTGATTTGAGTAATTGTGGAGAACTTTAAAGGTGAACGTCACTAGTGCTAATACCCTGGAAAAAATCAAACCATCAAGACTCTTCTGAAGACAATATTGCTTATCAACTGAGCTTTAAAACAGGTATGAGGCAGGTCACAGAGGCTCAACCTGCACTCCCAGCAGTTTGGCAGGCCAAGGTGGGTGGATCTCTTGATGTCAGGAGTCTGTGATAAGCCTTGTCAACATGGCATGAATCCAAGTCTAATATCATACAAAGGCTAGCTGGGCATGGTGGCCCATGAATGTAACTACAGCTACTCAGGAGGCTGATGCAGGACAATCCACTGAAACCCAGGCATGGAGTTTGCAAAGAAGTGAGATCACAGCACTGCAGTCCAACCTGGCAACAGATTGAGACTCTGTCTCAGAAATAAAAATAAAATAATAAAATAGGAGAGATCACTGAAGAGATAAATGCATAAAACTGAGTAGGTATTGTGACTGATGCCTGACATCGCAGCACTTTGAGAGGCTGAGGTGGGTGGATCACATGAGGAAAGGAATTCAAGACCAGCCTGAGTAAACATTGTGAAACCAGGTCTCTACTAAAAGTACAAAAAAAAAAAAAGAAAAATAGACAAGATTAGTGTCGTATGCCTGCAGTCACAGCTACTCGGGAGGGTGTGACTGGAGAATTGCTTGGACCCAGGATGGGGAGGTTGCAGTAAGCACAGATAATGCCACTGCACTCCACCCTAGGTGACAGCGCAGGATTCCATCTAAAAACAAAAATCAAAGAGAGACACAGGGAGAAAGAAAGAAAGGAAAAAAGAAAGAAAGAGAGAGAGAGAAAGAAAGAAAGAAAGAAAGAAAGAAAGAAAGAAAGAAAGAAAGAAAGAAAGAAAGAAAGAAAGAAAGAAAGAAAAAGAGAAAGAGAGAGGGAGGGAGGAGGGAGGGAGGAAGTAAAGAAGGTAAGAAGGAAGGATGGAAGTAAGGAAGGAAAGAAGGAAGGAAGGAACGAAGGAGAGAATGAAAGGCATAAAACCAAAGGGAAATGAATAAAAATAAAAACTTGCCATTTGCTCATTATCCACATGGTTTTTGAATTATGTTTAAAATAATATTAAGGTCTCCAGTGGACTCACAGAAACTTTAAAATAAGCTAGTGTATATTGTCAAAATTACTCATGTAACTATGGTGTTAACTAAGATACTTGCAGTTTTCAACAACCAAATCTAAGTGACATTTGTCTTCAAATTGCATGCTACTAGGGGCAGGGTAGTCTGTGTTATGCTGCCTAATCCACATTGAATTAAAAATGAATTCAAATATGGAAAACATTTTACACTTACTATTACCAGTAAAGACTGTTGTGTTTCCTGATGTTTTGAGGATTTTATTGCCACAATTTTTATGGATCTGGCAGAAAGCCTTCCTCATCCAAATTCACCCCTTATCATCACAGTAAAAGTGTATTCAGGAATTAAGAGGAAAGAGCATCCAGTCCCTCTGCTTTCCTGCATTGGTTCCCATGCACAAGCAAATGTGCTGTGTCAGTGGCTATCGAATATACATATTTTTGATCAATGAAATTTATGTTTCCAAATGGTAAAACAAAAAATATTATTATCAGTTGTATTTTTATCATTTATTTACTGAGAGGTGGAGCCTTGCTTTGTCACCAGGCTGAATCATACATTACTGTAATCTCAGACTTTTGGGCTCCTAGGATCTCTAACATCACCCTCACAAAGTACTGAAATTACAGACTTGAGCCACTGTACCCAGCCTAAAGTTTAGAGAGAAAGGCTAATGAATATATTGTACACCATATAAATAAACATAATTGCAGGTTTTCTAGAGGGCTGTAAGAAACCACTGAAAAGCTGCCATTGTGTAAGGCTGCTGGCAGCAATGTAATGCAGGCAAAGGAGTGGGTCCTTCCCCACTGAGCCTTCAGAAAATACCAGAGGCCTGCTTGGCATTTCCATTGCTGCTTTTTGAGAGAACATGAAGCATATTTGTGTATGTTTTGTGTGTGTGTGTATGTGTCAGTGTGTGTGTAAGCATACATACATAACCAGTTAAACAAACTGGGCTCACCCACACAATGGAATATGATGCAGCTTTTTGTAGATATGGTAGAATTCATCCCAAATTTATCAATTCCTGGGCTTCTTTTTTTTTGGCTGGTAGGTTATTTATTAGTAATGACTCCATTTCAAAAATTGAAATTGAATAGGCTGGAGCTGACACTGGATCCACTTTGATTCTGCTGTGGAACAGAGAATGGGATGACTGTAATTTTGGCTGTGATGCTTACTGGAAGGTTTCTGCATAGATATGCTAGCTTTCTGCCAGCAGCAGGAGGGCCTGAGGCTGAAAATCAGCTCCCTTGACACCTTTCATATTGCCCAGAAATTTTCTCAAGGATTACATAGTTCCCTGACTAAGGGAAAGGCCAGGGCTGAGAGTGTCTCCTCCCTATAGGGGACATAGGCTAGAGAGTCTAGGTCCATTTTCTGCTGGACAGAGCCTGGATAGACTACATTTATTGGCTCAGACTGGCAAGTTCCCCAGCATGGTAGTTGCTTCCGAGCCACAGTGGGAGGGTCTGGAGCTGAGACTGGGATTCTCTGTTACTCAATAAAATCATGTGCTCTAGAGATTCTAATGCCCAAGTTATTTCCATTAGATTTATCAGAAGTGAAGTTCCTTCCAGGGATACCAAGGCTTATTATAAAACTACTTGCCTGCTGGGTCCAGGTAGGGCCAGAAACTTCATCCTTAACCACTAAATTGCCTCCGATTTTCAGCCTGGGGATGGATGGAGCACACAGGGCTAGGATGGTCAAAAGTATGGCTGCTGCAATGGGGTGGGGTCACATGCCCCTTCTGTGGATAATCACCAAGCTGCCACTTTGTCACAGCATTGGCTGTTTTGCAGAAAAAAACCAGGATGGGATTTGGCAGTTGGCCAATGATTTGAGCCTGGCAGACCCATCAACCACGGCTGGTTGTTGCAGAATGATGTTGTTGCCTAGTTTCTCTGAAACAGCACCTCTCTGGCTGGAATGCAAAGCCAACAGTAAGATTACTGTATGGTCAGTGTGAGCCCCATCCATGTAGTTATTTTCTAACTGACCCCAGTTGTCTGATACCTCCAATGTTTCCTACCGGGTAAGGCTAGAGAGAACATCATGTGAAAAATTGCAAAATAGAAAAGAAAAAGTTGAATGTACGCTTTCAACTCTCTCCTCTCTGAAGAAACTGCGAGGCTGGGAAAAAAATTTTGTATGCAACACTTTGCTGGCTTGGGGAGGAAAAAAAACATCAAATTAAAACTGATATTTTATCCTGCATGTGGCTATTTTCAGTTCTACAATCAAAAAAGTTGTCATAGATTAAATCCCAAGTTATAGAATCATTCACTAAGATGTCTTTGTCTAAGGAAAGTTGTGAGTTTTGATTTTTTGTGGAGAGGGTGGGAATTAACAGAATTACAGAATGCCTATTATGTCACATCAGACCCTAGAAACAGGCAAGTTAAAAGACTGGTCCAGGATCACACCTGTAACCCAAGCACTTTGGGAGGCCAAGGCAGGCATATCACTAAGTCAGGAGGTTGAGACCATCCTGGCTAACACAGTGAAATCCTTTCTCTACTAAACATAAAAAACAAAATACCCTGGTATGGTAGCACGTGCCTGTAGTCCTAGCTACTTGGAAGGTTGAGGCAGGAGTATCTCTTGAACACGGGAGATGTAGGCTGAAGTGAGCTGAGATCACACCACTGCACTTCAACCTCAGTGACAGAGTAAGACTTGATATTAAAAAAAAACTGGTTATAAGGGAGGAGTTTAAAAGGTTGGGGTGCTTCCGTGGAGAAGCTGAAAGCTAGAGCAAACCAAGGGTTGCGTTTAAGGAAGAGCTCACAGGACCATTGAAAACCACCTCTTTGTCCTGTACGGAATGCAGGGAATAGTGAATGTGGAGCTCCACTGCTTACTGATATGTGCAAGTTATCAGCCAGAGATACACATCTTAGTCTGTTTGTGTTCCTATAAAAGAATATGAGACTGGAAAAATTATAAAGAAAAGAGCTTTCATTGGCTGCTGGTTCTGCATGCTGTAAAAGATGTGTGGTGCCAGCATCCACATCTGGTAAGAGCCCCACAAGGCTTCCACTCAGGACAGAAGGTAAAAGGAAAACAGGCATGTCACATGTGGAGAGAGCAAGACAGAGATGGAGAGAAGGTCTCAGGCTCTTTTCAACAACCAATTTGGATGTAAGCTCCATTGTGGGAAGTAATACACTGGAAAAGTCACTTATTTATCATGGCAAAGGTGCCAAGCCATTTATGAGAGATGCAGCCCCATGACAGGAACACCTCCGACTAGATGCCATTTGCAGTGTGAAGACTACATTTCATTCTGAGGCTTGGAGTCACAAATGTCCAAAATATATCAATAGGCAAGTTTAAAAATCATGCAAAACTGCTGTAACACAATCCTTTTTCTTCTTTAGAATCCTGAGACTATAAAAAGCTGTGCTTCATTAGCTTTCAGGGATTGGCAAGTCAGTATTCAAACTCGTAGGGAGCCACCTGATAAGTCAGGGCAATAGTTGGGTAGTTTGACTTCTTCAAGGGAAAATTTAGAAGCTCAGTATATTGCTAGAGTGAGTAATGATGAAGACAGATGAGAAATGCCTATATGCCTAGTCTCAGAGGACCTTGACAGATCAAAAAGTCAGAATCAGAAGCAAGATACCTGGGAAGAAGCTATAAAAATCAAGACATGGCTGGGTGTGGTCATTCATGCCTGTAATCCCAACACTTTCAGAGGCCAAGGCAGGGGATCACCTGGTGTCAGGAGTTAGAGACCAGCCTGACCAACATGGTGAAATATTGTCTCTACTAAAAAATACAAAAATCAGCCTGGCATAGCGGTGGTTGCTGTAATCACAGCTACTTGGGAGGCTGAGGCAGGGGAATCACTTGAGCCCAGGAGGAAGAGTGCAGTGATCTGAGATCATGCCATTGCACTACTGCCTAGGTGACAGAGCAAGATTCTGTCTCAAAAGAATAAAGAAAGAAAAAAAAAGTCAAGGCATTAGGTGTACAATCTAAGTTCTTTGAATCACAAAGTGGGAGCTGAGCTTCCTTGACTGCTTGAGATCCAGTAAGCTAGGAGGAAACAGTTTCAGAAATGCTTGAGTATCTATTTAAATCCCTCTTTTATCTTGGAGGTCCTAGGAGAGTTATGAATGCCAATCTGTGTTAGAATCCAGAGATAGGTAAGTTAGGAATCATTTTATTGAGAAGCAGCTGTAACAGTTGGGGAATTACATTTGTGGCTTAACACTTCAGTCCTCTGAGAGAAGCTGTGAAATAACAGTTCCCTATTGATTTCAGACCACTGGGACAGACATAAACTCCAGAACAAGACCATGATTCAGTTTTTCTTACCTCTTTTTAAGAGAGTATTTTCATAATCCTATATGCAAGAGTATCTCAGCTAGTTTCTGGGTTTATCTCATAGGGAATTGATGTCGGTGTGGCTTTTTATTTGTTGCTTTGTGAATGGAGGAACAAATTAGAGCCTATCTTATCAGTTTGTTGGAGATGCCCTTTTTATTAATTTTT
The DNA here is from genome assembly GCF_000001405.40 of Homo sapiens. Lineage (NCBI taxonomy): Eukaryota > Metazoa > Chordata > Mammalia > Primates > Hominidae > Homo > Homo sapiens. The sequence continues at coordinate 8,786,783 of NC_000024.10, forward strand.
TACTTATTTTAAAATATTTGTACAAAACTGTTGTAGATACTTTTGGCATACATGCGATATTTTGATACAAGCACCATGTACTGGTAACGAAGGAACCAAAGAGGGGATTGGGGTGACTTAAATTATAGTTCTTTAGAAGGAATAAGATCTAGTGTTCAGTAGCACAGGATGAGTACACTTAATGATTTAATGTGTATCTCAAAAGAATTAAAAGAGCGAAGGTGGAATGTCACTCACACCAACAAATGGTATGCCAGACTCGGTGGCTCATGGCTATAATCACAACACTTTGGGAGGCCAAGGAAGGAGGATCATGTAAGCCTGGAAGTTTGAGACCAGCCTGTCCATACAACACACACACACAAACAAAAAAGCTGGGCACAGTGGCATTTGTCTGTAATTCCAGCTATTGGGAGGCTCAAATGGAAGGCTAACACATTTGAACCCAGGAGTTCAAGGCCGCAGTGAGCTACAATGTTATCACTGCAATCCGGGATGGACAACAGAGTGAGAACCTGTGTCTAAAAAAGAAAAAATAAATGATAAGTGCTTGAACTGAAGGAAACCATAATTATTATTTATATTTTTGTTGATTTATGTAATTGTTTTTGTGTTGGAGTCTCACTCTGTCACCCAGGCTATAGTGCATGGTGCAATATAGGCTCACTGCAGCCTCAGGCTCCCAGGTTCAAAAGATTCTCCTGCCTGAGCCTCACAATTAACTGTAATATACTATGGGTTTGGGCCACCACACCCGGCTAATTTTTGTATTTTTGGTAGAAATGGGGGGTTTCATGGTGTTGGCCAGCCTGGTCTTGAACTCCTGACCTAAAGTGATCTACAAGCCTTGGCCTCCCAAAGAGCTGGAATTGAAGACTTGAGCCATCATGCCTGGACAGTAAGATACACAAGAGTACAGAGTTTTGTGTTTTCACTTCATCCTCACAATCCTACATTATAGGTGAATGAAAACACAACTTCATAACATGAATAACTCACTTTTAAATCAAAGTTGGTAATTTCTCTCTTTAAAATTATTTGCACCTTTACCTAATAAAAATTGAGATCTTGTCCAAATTTTACCAATTTACATGCTCATGCCTGTAATCTTAGCACTTTGGGAGTCCAAGAAGGGTGGATCAGGATTTTCAGAACACCCAGGCAATCATAGTGAAACCATGTCTGTATTAAAAATACAAAAAAAAAATAGCCAGCTGTGGTGCACACATATCTAATCCAGTTACTCAGAATGCTGAGGCAGGAGAATAACTTGGACCCAGAAGCTGGAGGTAGCAGTAAGCCAAGATGGAGCACTGCACCCCAACTTGGGCAACAAAACTACACTCCATCTCAAAAAAACAATTGATAAAGTCTCAACCATTCTAAATTATTTCTATTTGTAAGAACTTATTACTAAACCATTACTTACATCAAACATTGTCAAAACTTTCAAGAAAAAATTAATATGAGTACCTCCCCAGACAAAACACTTAGTTTCCACTATGTAAACTATGAACATTTAATTTCATTATGCTATGTACTTGAGAAACTTTGCTGGTTCACTTTTGTTTTATGTAAAAAAATAGTTTTCATTACCATTATCCCTCTTCAGCCACAGAATGCTTCAAGTAGAATATTACAGATGTCTTAAACTTTGGTATCTAGCACATCTAATTATCTCTTTTGTCATGTACTATTCCTCTAAAAAATAAACGTTTTATGGTGAGGGAGAGAGTTTTGGAGGCTTTCTCAAGACTTCTCAAATATTTTAAGCTTATATGTTTTTAGTGAGAAACAGCCTAATCAGAAAACTTGTGCAGCCTGCAAGGGAGACATATCACATGCCTAATTTTGTATATACTTATGTTCAAAGAAACAAAGGAAAATGTTCAACAAACAATACAATTTACTCTCCTATTAAATTTGCTTTTGATCATGTGCAGCTATGCAATAACATCAGTCATTTTGCATTACATGTAAAATTTTATGCTGAAAATGTTAATGTAGATATTACATCTAAACACACAGTTTTCAAATAGCATTAACAAGTATGATATTACTCTGAAAAAAGTTCCTTTTTCTTTGAATACCTCAGAAAATTCACAAAATCAACATGTTTCTTTCAGTAATGTGCATGTAACAATGCAGAAATAACATTTCAAGTTTCGATTTGCAAACAAGATTTGGTATGCAGTAACTATTATTTTGAATACTTGCTTTAAAATCCGCTTTAGTCGCCTTTTTCAGATTGACTTTCCCCACCATCTCCTGTAGATGGCACATAACTTGAACTACCATATGCTTCAAGAGGAGCAGAGTGCACCCTATCCAGAGAAGGTGGATTCCTTTGGTCTTTTCTGCCAATGTTCTCATGACCACAAGAATAAAAATCGCCATAGCTCCTTGAGCAACTTTCCTGACTTCTGCCGTATCTATCTCATGTATTGTTATAATCATGGCAGCTGCTTCCACCATAAGACATCCAAGGCCCTCGCTCAGGTGGTGCACCATGAGAGGTCCCTGCAGGGTTGATAAAATAATATGTTGGCATATTCAAGCAAAATGATTGAACATATCTGACATTAATACTGTGAGTGCTTGGTTTCAGAACCGAAACAATGTAAGAATAAATGTTATTCAACCTTATCCTCAAACAGTTACTACCTGGATGCAGCCAGAATGGCAAATAATCCACCCATTGAACCAATCTGAAAAGAATGCAGTCATATCCTGGACCCAGTCTGAAGGTGATGTCATCCAACCTTGGAACTATGCTGAAAGCAATACAGTCAGACTCTGGGCCCATTCTGAAACTGATAAAATAAAACAATGTACTGAGCCTGAAGCAATTAGGACCTGGCCTGAGGTGGGCATGTTAACACATTTGTTGAAGCAAAATCATTATGCTCAGTGACATTAGCCAGTTGCAGAAGAACACATACTGCATGATACTACTTACATGAGAAATATAAAATAGTCACACTCACAGAAACAGATTGTAGAATGGTGGTTTCCAGGGAGTAGGGGAAGGGGAAAATGAGTAGCTGCTAATCAATGGTGGTAAAGTTTTATTTACTGAGGATGACTACTTTTGGAGATCCACTGCACAATGTTGTGCCTATAGTTGACAATTCTGTATTGTACACATAAAAACTTGTTAAGAGGGTAGATCTCATGCTAATTTTTCTTATCACAAAGAAATTCAATTTACAAATCAGAGTTTCCAAATTGATCTTTCAGAATGCTTTAAAATGCAGGTCATATGTTAAAGCTCTTGGATATTTAATATTTCTAAACAGGATATCTCTAGGTAGAGTTGGGTCCTCTGGTTCCCAGTGAATTTAAATGGTTTAAGATTAAGTAACCAGAGATTGTGTAATTAAAACAGAAGGATGCTTCACCTCATTACTCTGGTTAATTGATGGTAAATTTCATCAACCAAGTATGTAAATAAATTTTGAATCATAACCCTTAAAACAGGAAATATAAGATAAAGTATGCTGTCTTTTCTACACAGCTATGTTTTTTTAATTTTATTTTAAAAAGGGAACTAATAGCTCTTGAGAGGGAAAGTATAAAGTCTCACTTTACAGTGGTGAGAAAGCATCCAAAATAATAATAATAATAATGATAATAATAATAATAATAGTAGTAATAATAAGTGAGATTGTTAAGAGAAAGCTAGATAAACCCCTAAATAAAAACCAGCTTTCTATAGACAGTATCAATCAAATCTCGGTATACCTTATAATCTGGTCACCTTAATTTAGATAAAATTGTTTCTGAAAATAGGTGAGTATATATAATATTTTTTAAATGATTAAGATCAAAAAGTATATGTTTTCTTTTATAACACAATGTCTCTGTAACTGGAAATTGTTCATCTCATTTACTAAAACAGGGAGCACTCAGTAGATTTAGAATACCTGAAAAATCATCTTTTTCTATATTAAAATTTAAAAAATAACAGAGATCGAACAATTAAGCCATACCTCTTAAAAAGCACATGGTTAGGCCAGCCGCGTTGGCTCATGCCTGTAATTCCAAAACTTTGGGAGGCTGAGGCGGGTGGATCACGAGGTCAGGAGTTCAAGACCAGCCTGACCAACACCATGAAACCCCATCTCCACTAAAAAACACAAATAAAAATTTAGCTGGATGTGGTTGTGCATGCCTGTAATCCTGACTACTTGGAACGCTGAGGCAGAAGAAACGCATGGACAGAGGTTGCAGTGAGCTGAGAATGCCCCACTGCACTCCAGCCTGGCAACAAAGCGAGACTCCATCTCAAAAACAAAACAAAACAGAACAAAAAAAGAAGCATCACATCATTGTCCAAGTCACCATGTCAGCAATTAAAATGCCTTTCTAGCATGGTATTTAGTGAACATGTAACATGAGACATTTAAAACTGCTCATAATTTACCTACAGGATTTTAGTTTCCCCAGATGATCTGCTAAGTTGATCAAGTAGATACAAATTTGGGGCCATATTAAGCATAAAAGTGTGTTTGAAAGATTCTAACAGTATTTGAGGAGCCATTAACAATTATTATGCAAGTATATATTAGGAACCTAAAAGTTTCTTCTTTTTTCTGCCATTTCGTCTTGCTAACATAGTCTAATGAGGTCCAGCATATTTCCTAGATTAAGAGACAGCAGTTATTCAGAACATCAATTTAACCACTCAGGAATAACAATTTTATAAGGTATCATAATTGTTTTCTTGGCTGAATCCCCAACTTGCAATGTTAGTGTGAAGATTTTATATTCATTAAGTTTGCTCCTATATTCATTTTATTGAGCTAAATGTGAGATAGAATGCTCACCAGAAGCGACTTTATCTGTTTTTTATGTGATTTTTATATTTTAAGTCTAGAGTCAATGTGTAGAAATCAAAATCCGTGGGAGTTTCTTAGAGGGACTGCTTTGATTCAATCAAGTCTCCTTAACATGCATTTCTTATGTGTCAAACTCTGAGTTAGGAGATCTGCCAGACAGATATGCAGAAAAAGAATCAGCTACATGCTCTGGTCTCAAAGAAAATGGCTTCAGCGTTAGATTGTTTACATAGTAATGGTCTAATGTATTATCTACACAGTAGTGATAAAAGTTAGAACTGGACATGGTAGATACATTAGATCTATTTGTTAAATAGACTTTATAAACATTTTCTGAACAAATGAACAAATGTACTTCAAAATGGAGGAATATGCAAATGTACTGAGAAGTCAAAAAAATAAGAGCTTGCATCTAATTTAGAGAGATTGTGGCTTGAATTTTGAGGAAATATTATCTTCCTTAGTGTAATATTGAAACAAAATGCAAAATAATAACACCTATCTATAACAAACCCCCAGCTGACATCATACTGAATGGGCAAAAATGGAATGATTCCTCTTGAGAACTGGCACAAGACAAGGATGCCCTCTCTCGCCACTTCTATACATAGTACTGAAAATCCTAGTAAGAGCAATCAGGCAGAAGAAAGAAAAGAAAGCATCCAAATAGGAAGATAAGAGGTCAAACTACCTCTCTTTAGTGGTGAAAATGATTCTATATATAGAAAACACTAAACACTCCACCAAAAGCCTCCTGTAAATAATAAGCAACTTCAGTAAAGCTTCAGAAAACAAACTCAATGTATAAAAATCAGTAGCATTTCTATATACCAATAATGTTGATGCTGAGAACCAAATCAAGAACACAATCCCATTTCCAGTAATCAAAAAAAAAAAAAAAAAAGAAAAGAAAAGAAACACTTAGGAATTCACCTGACCCAAGAGGTGGATAGTTCTACAAGGAGAACTACAAAACACTGCTGAAAGAAATGAGAGATGACATAAATGAAAGAAAAAAATATTCTTACTCTTGGATTGGAAAAATCATTATTGTTAAAATGGTCACACAGGCTAAAGTAATTTACAGATTCAATGTTATCCCTATCAAAATACAAATAATATTTTTCATAGAATTAGAAAAAACTATTTTAAAATTCATATGTAACCACAAAAGAGCCCAAATAGCCAAAGCAATCCTAAACAAAAAGAGCAAAGTCGGAGGCATCACATTACATGACTTCAAACTATACCATAAAGCTACAGTAACAAAACCAGCATGGTATTGGTACAAAAAGAGAAATATACACTAATAAATAGATTATAGAACCCAGAAATAAAGGCACAAACCTGTAAGTACCAGATCTTTGACAAAATCAATAAATATATGCGATAAGGAAATGTCTCCCTATTCAATAATAGGTGCTGGGATAAACTGGTGAGCAATATGCAGAAGAGTAAAACTAGACTCGTTCCTTATATAATGCACAAAATGCAACTCAAGATGGATTAAAGATTTAAATATAACACCTCAAACTATTGAAAATTCTAGAAAACCTAGAAAATACCCTTCTCAACATCAGCTTTGGCAAATAATTTTTGGCTAGGTCCCCAAAAGCAATTGCAACAAAACCAAAAATTGACAAGAGTGTCATAGTTAAAATAAAGAGCCTCTGTACAGCAAAATAAACTGTCAGTGATATAAACACACACCATGCATGTGACAAAGGTCTAATATTCAGAAACTAAAATAAATTTAAATCATAAAGTAAAAACCAAAAAATACACTTAAAAATGGGCAACAGGCATGAAGAAACACTTCTGGAAGAAAACATACAAGTGGCCAAAAAACGTGAAAAAATGCTCAACATCACTATGCATTAGAGAAAAAGAAATCCAAATCAAAATGAGATACCATCTCACACCAGTCAGAATGACTATTCCTAAAATGCCAAAAAATAACACATGCTGGTGAGGTTGTAGGAAAAAAAAGGAATGCTTATGCAATGTTGACAGGAATATAAACTAGTTAAGCCACTCTGGAAAGCAGTTTTGGGATTTCACAAACTACTTAAAACAAAACTACCATTCAGCCCAGCAATTCCATTATTGAGTATATACCCAAAAGAAAACAAATTTTTCTACAAAAAAGACACATGGAGTGGCATCTTGACTGCAGCACTATTCACGATAGAAAAAGACATGGAATCAACCTAGGTGCCCACCAATGGTGGAGTGGATAAAGAAAATGTGGTACACATACACAATGGAAAAATACACAGCCACAACAAAGAACAAAATCATATCCTTTCTAGCAACATGGATGCAACTGAAGGCCATTATCTTAAGCAGATTAATTCAAGAACAGAAAACAAGATACCACACATGCTCTCTGATCAAGCATCTGATCTTTAAAAAAATTGATAAATGTAAGCAAGGAGGAAATGACTTCCTATTCAATAAATGATGTCGGGATAAACAGGTGATCCATATGCAGAAGATAGAAATTGGACCCATCTAGTAGTATCCCCTGTCTATTCTTTCCATTTTTATATCTATGTGTATACAATAATTTGTATACATTGTAAACATCATATACAGATAGACATAAAGATGGGAACCAGAGGCAGTGGGGACTACTAGATGGGGAAAGGAGGGAAGGGGGCATAGGCTATAAGAACACCTGTTGGGTATTATGCTCACTACCTGGGTGACAGGATCACTTGTACCCCAGTCCTCAACATCACAGTATACCCATGTAAGTACACCTCCACACATACACAATTTTATCTATGGTAAAATGCTGCACACACAGCATTTTGTCTATAATAAAAGTTGAAATTGTAAAAAATAAAATAAAATTTTAATATGACTCAATTCATTAAAAATACTGTTGTAAACTATAACTCTTTAAAATCTTATACCCTTGACAGTTCTTTTGAAATAAACATGTTATTTGCTGTAGATGTAAATATTTACAGTATATGTCAGAAATTACAGAATATTGAAAAGAAAAATAGAAAATATAATAAGAGTATGAGATCATAAAAAAAAAATCATCTGTTTCTGCCTGGGTCTGGCCCATGGGGAACTAAAAGAATGATGATTAAGGGTGTGAGTGTCTTACTAATACAGACCTCAAAGGCTATGATGTCATTCCAAACATCTTAGTTTCTATTAATAACACAACGTAGTTACTTATCCATGAACTTAGTTAAGCATCTTTTCACTATCCATTACCTTTTAAAGTAATGTAGTTTTGTAAGATGGAAAATTTCCTTCTTCTTTTGCATTTCTCTCTTCAAGGTTAATTTATGTGAAATGCTATTCATAACGCATGAATATATAAAAAATATAGTGTGAATGATGCTATCATTCTTAAGTAGCTTAAAGTTCTACATCATTTTTATAGACGTTATCATATTTATGTATTTGTTTTTTTAATTCCAATTTATGAAGTTCTATGTACAATGTACTGGAACTATATATTGGGGACACAAAGACAAGCAAGACAGATATGGTATCTGCCCTAGTGGAACTTATAGACCAATTACAAGTAGATAAACATATAGATTGTTTTGAGAACAATGAAGGAAGGAAACGTTATTTGATATTAGAGCCCATGGGACAGGACGGGAAGTGTGGATTAGTGGACAGAAAAGTGTTCTTTGAAGAGATGAAATTTAAGCTGATATCTGAAGGATAAGAAGGAGCTATTCACTCAAAAAACAAACACAAGAATGTGCCAGATAAAAAGAAACAACAGCCGGGTGCAGTGGCTCACTCCTGTAATCCCAGCCTAGCACTTTGGGAGGCCGAGGTGGGTGGATCATGATGTCAAGAGATTGAGACCATCCTGTCCAACATGTCAATACCCTGTCTCTACTAAAAGTACAAAAATTAGCTGGGTGTGGGGTCACACGCCTATAGTCCCAGCCACTCGGGAGGCTGAGGCAGGAGAATCGCTTGAACCCAACAGGCAGATGTTTCAGTGAGCCAAGATCACACCACTGTACTCCAGCCTGGGGACAGAAAAAGACCCTATCTCAAAAAAAAAAAAAATGTGCAAATACTTCAAAGTCAGACACTTATTGGTATGTTATAGGAACAGATAAAAAGGTCAATGTCAGAAAAATAAAGGGGGGATATTCTATGGGTGTGAGATGAAGTTTGAGAGAAATAGCACAGCTCATGCAGAAGTGGAATGATACTGAAAGATTTCTGATTTATGCAGAAGTGTGTACTGACATGATTTAATTCTTAAAATTGTTCTGAATATTATAAGGAGAATGAATTCAAGAGAAGGAGTTGGAAAAGGAAGATGTTTATAAATATAAAAGTATATTTAAGTAGTTCAAGCAAGAAATGCAGAGGTGGCTTAGCTTAGTGGAGGTAGAAATTTAAATGGAATTGAAGAGATATTTGCAGGTATATCTGGTAGGGTAAAATTATAATTATATGTTAACTCGTGTTTCTTTCCTTCCAGACTGGTGCCCATGTAGGGATCATCGATGTTATATTAATCTCTGAATTTTCATTCCCATCTGTGCATATTCTATGAAAAATATTTTTCCATAATTTGAAGTATCTGATGCATGGAAGACATTCTTGAAATCTGTAAATAGATGAATAAGTTTGTTATCTATACTGGAATTGCCCTCTCTGTGCCCTAAAATTACTTTTATTTCTTCCTTCAAGAGAGACCTACTGGTTTTGATATAATACAATGTGGTAAACATGGCTACACCCTGTTTCTCCACCCCCCCTTCAAGATATTTCAGATTTCAATAATATATGTTCAGTATTTTTATCTTTCAGGTGAAAGACACACAGTCTTTTGATTCTTATATGGCACTTCTTTCTTTTCAATGATCACTTCTGTTGCCTTCCTCTGAATTTTCACCTCATTTATCTCTTATTTGACATGTGATAATACTATGTTCCTGGCGTGCATGCACCACAATCCTGTATGTCAATTAGATGCTGCATTTTGGCTGATTCCAATATATTTTCTAATAAAGCTTAATATTTTCTAGAATTTGTTTTTTTCTAAAAAAACAGGGCCCAAAGACATACAAATTTTTCTTGTTAAATGATGAGTTGATGGGTGCAGCACACCAACATGGCACATGTATACATACATAACTAACCTGCATGTTGTGCTCATGTACCCTAAAACTTAAAGTATAATAATAAAAAAGTAACAGTTCACAGCTTGAAATAGAATTGTGAGAATTTTTTTCTTGCCCTTGTCAATAATGAATCTTATCTATAATTTTGTTCCTTTTTGATGTAGCCTTATGTAATTTTCTTGCATTCTGTCCCTGTCAGTTTGGCATCTCACTATCCCCAGAAGAGGTTAGTGTCAATTGCATTCTTTCCTGCAAATCACTTATAAAAACTGTCAGATTATACTGAACCCTGGGAATTTCTCCATTTGTACTTTCTGTCCAAAGCAATTTTCCCTTATTATTTTCTTCTTGTTTTGTAAGGCAATTGTCTATTCATGGCAAAAACAGGCTTGTCAACTTCACGGTAACTCCAGTTGAAGCTTATGTGAAGGTACTTTGGAAATGAAAATAATATATTTGCTTGTTATATTTTGTTCATTTATTAGGTATTCACAGTTATTTATGAAGTGCTCAATCATGTTAATCACCTGAACATGATTATACTTATAGAAAGCACATTCTCTTTTCATGAATGTGTTGTGTCTTCTTGAATAAAGCAGGTAATCTATATATCTATCTCCCACTAACTTGCCTCATATCCAGGTAAGATTTGTCATTCTTAACTTTAGAATCTCCACTGAAACTCTTATAGATGCCAACTATCATCCTTTCATCATTTTTAATGACTATTTACATTTTTTGACTAATAGCTCCACAATGCCACCCTTGGATTCTTTTAAAATTTTTGGTGCATTTAATTTAAGTTACTGATTAAATCTCTAACATGCTATAATTTTATTATTATTATTTGAGATGGAGTCTCACCTTGTTGCCCAGGCTGGAGTACAGTGGCACAATCTCTGTTCACTGCAACCTCCACCTCCCAGGTTCAAGCAGTTCTCCTGCCTCAGCCTCCTGAGTAGCTGGGAGTACAGTTGACCACCACCATGCACATCTAATTTTTGTAATTTTTGTATAGATGGGGTTTCACCATGCTGCTCTTGAATTCCTGACCTCAGAGAATCTGCCCACCTCAGCCTCTCTCCCTGCTTTATTATTTATTTAAATCATTTTCTGAAGCTATTTTCTCATTTAGAAGGTGTCTTCTTTGACCTTTTAAAGATTACTTACACATTTAATTACTTAACATTTATTGAATGGCTACTAAGGATTGGGAGCTTAGCAGTGAACAAGGTAGGTAGAAATTTCTGCCTTTGTGGAGTTTATATTCTTTTAGAGTTGACAGACAATAAAAGTAGATAGGGGGATACTACTTAATACAGAGGGTTTAGGAAAAGTTTTTCTAAAAATATAACATTTTATCAGGCACCTGAATGATGGGAGGGCCTGAGTGATGTGAGGAAGCTGTGTAGTTATCTGGAGAAAAGGGAGTTCCAGGTAGAGGGAACAACAAGTGCATAGGCTCTGATATAGGCATGTGCTTGGCTTGTTCAATGAACAGCAAGGAGTCTATTGCTACAGAAACAAAGTAAGTGAGTAGGAGAGTGGTAGGAAATGAGAACTAGGGACTTAGCCAGAGCCCAGATGATGCAAGACCTTATAGACCACATTGAGGAGGTTAAATTTTATTCTTGGTAAGATAAGAAACCATCTGATGGTTTTAAGCATGGGGGGATCATAATAGCACTTGTTTAAAAATGAAACTCTCATTACAGTGTGTATAGAATACATTGGGGCATGGGACAGTGGAAGCCATAAAACAAATTAGGAAGCTATTAGTGTAGGCAATTCAGAAAAGAAACAATTATGACGTGAACATGGGTGTCAGTGTAAGTCATCAGATTATGAATGTATTTTGAAGATGTGCCAGGCTGCATATGCTGATGGACTAATTGTGTAGTGTAAGAGAAAGCTAAAAAATTATTCCAAGTTTTTTTTTTTTTTTTTTTTTTTTTGAGACGGAGTCTCGCTCTGTCGCCCAGGCTGGAGTGCAGTGGCGGGATCTCGGCTCACTGCAAGCTCCGCCAAGTTTTAAGCCTAGGCATTTGCCAGCATGGAGTTGAAGTTTAATGAGATAAGGAAGACTATGGGAAGAGCAGAGCGTTGCTGGGGAGTTGTGAAAGGATCATGCTTGGATTATGTTAGCATTTAGGAGCCTATTGGACATCCAAATAGAGAGGTAAATCGGCTCAATATACATGTTCAGATTTGGGAGATAATTCTGGGCTAAAATTGCACATTGGCAAGTTGAGAGCTACTAGTATGCAGATGGTATTTAAAACTATGTGACTTGTTGAGATAATCTCAAGAGTGAATATAAACAGAAAAGAAAAGAGGATTCCTTCTGGGATGAGTCCCAGGGCACCCAATTGTTTTGAGGTTTATGAAAGAAATCAGGAAGAGTCTTAGAAGGAGTTGTCAGGGAGGTAGGAGGAAAATTAAGAGAGTAGTGGCCCAGAAGACAAATGATGGAAATGTTGCAAGAAAGAGGGTGTGATCTGTGATGTCAAATGTGACTGGAAGTTGAATAAGATGAGGAATGAGACTTGACCATGGGACATGGCAAGAGGGTGGTTATGGTCTCCTTGAAAAAAACTGTTTAAAAATGGAATAATGAGATCCAAAGTGTAACTGGAGTAGACTAGGGAGTTAATTTGAAACCAAAAATATAGATAACACTTTTGAAGGGTTTTTCTCTAAAGAGGAGCAGGTTGAATGAAGGAATAAAGTAAAACAATAGTCGGGATTGAATGCCTGGGAGTGAGTGACATTAATGAAGAGGAATTAATAGAGACAGTCAATGTGTTGGTAGTCCCATTGTGGTCAAATAATTGTTTTCAAGGCACTAGAGGGAGTGAGAAGAATATGAGGTGGCAGATAATGACATAAAATATTGATACTTTGGAGAAGATAAAAATTTAAATAATGACAATGTCTGAGAAATAACCATAGGCATATATCACTAAGGTTGGATGGATGACATTTGGATTGAAATTACATCAGAGAAATCATATTCTTTGAGGAATTTTCTAAGATATAGGTGTTGAAGCCACTAAGAATGGTGAGAGGCATATAAATTATTTAGGGGACAAATCGTTCAATAAATGGTAAGAAAAATAGAGAAGGCTTCATAGTTAAAACAAGAATTGCAATTGGTATGATTTGATGGCTTACACTATACAGGATCTGGGGATTTTGAAGTGAGACATGAAAGGTTTGAAAATGGCAATAGAAATAGGAAGACATCCACTCCAATCTCTGAGCCTACAGATATGAGGAGTGTAAGAAAGAAAACAACTTTCACTTACAGCGGTAAATGGGAATCAGGGTTCTGAAGGGTAATGTAAAATCAAGTTAGAGAATATATATAAGATAAACATTATGAAGGGAGATTTAGAATAAAATAGATATGGTTAATAATAGACAGAGAGTTCCAAGGTATACAGTGAAAGATTATTTGGGCTTAGAACACTGTGGAGATGGAAGATGAACTGAGAGTCTTGGCCTGTTGTGGTGCAAGTTTCAGGATGTAATATAATCAACAGGCATTTATGTGTATTTGATAACATTTCATAAAGCCCATTATTTAAAAAAAATCAACTTTTATTGAGATATAGTGTGTAAATGTGCAGATTTGTTACATGGGTATATTATGTGATGCTGAAGTTTGGGTTACAGATCCTGTCACCCAGGTAGTGAAGATAGTACAAAATAGGTAGTTTTTCAACCCATCCTGCCTCCCTCCCCCATCTAGTAGTCTGCAGTGTCTAGTGTTCCTATTTTATGTCTGTGTTTTGAATGTTTAGCTTCCAAATATAAGTGAGAACGTATATTTGGTTTTCTGTTCCTGTATTCATCTGCTTATGATTATGGCCTCCAGCTGCATCTATGTCAATGCAAAGGGAATGGTTTTGTTGTTCCTTGTGTCTGTGTAGCACTCCACGGTTTATATGTACCACGGTTTCTTGATCCAATCCACAATTTTTGAGCACCTATGTTGATTCCATGTCTTTGCTATTGTGAATAGTGCTGTGATGAAAAAACAAGTACGTGTATCTTTTTTGTAGAATAATTTATTTTATTTTAGTTATTTACACATCAATGGGATTGCTGGATCCAATGATATTTTCATTATAAGTACTTTGAGAAATCTCCAAACTGCTTCTGATAGTGGATGAACTAATTTACATTCTCACCAACAGAGTATAAGTCTTCTCTTTTCTTGATAACTTAACCAGCATCTGTTGCTTTTTGACTTTTTAATAACAGCCATTGTAACTGGTGTGAGATATTTTGATGTGTTTTTTATTTGTATTTCTCTGATGATTAGTGATGATGAACATTTTTTCATATGTTTCTTGGCCACTTGTACATATCTTTTGAGAAGTGTCTGTTCATGTCTTTTGCTCATTATTTAATGGTTTTTTTTGTGCTTATTGATTTGTTTAATTTCCTTATAGATTCTTTATATTACACCTATTAGTCCTTTGTCTAATGCATAGCTTGAGAATAAATTCTCTCATTCTCTACGTTTCCTGTTTACTCTGTTGATAGCTTTGTTTGTGGTGAACAAACTTTTTAGTTTCATTAAGTCCTGTCAGGCCTCTGAGCCCAAGCTAAACCATCATGTGACATGCACATATAAGCCCAGATGGCCCAAAGCAAGTGAAGAATCACAAAAGTGAAAATGGCCTGTTCCTTCCTTAACTGATAATATTCCACCACAAAAGAAGTCAAACTGGCCAGTCCTTGCTTTAACTGATGACATTACCTTGTGAAATTCCTTCTCCTGGCTCATCCTGTCTCAAAAGCTCCCCGACAGAGCACCTTGTGACCCCCACCCCTGCCCACCAGAGAACAACCCCGCTTTGACTGTAATTTTCCTTTACCTACCCAAATCTTATGAAACTGCCCCACCCCTATCTCCTTTCACTGACTCTCTTTTTGGACTCAGTCTGCCTGCATCCAAGTGAAATAAAAAGCCTTGTTGCTCACACAAATCCTGTTTGGTGGTCTCTTCACGTGGACGTGAGTGAAAAGTCCCTCTTATTAATTTTTGTTTTTGTTGCAGTTGCTTTGGGGAACTTAGCCAGAAATTCTTTGCCAAAGCTAATGTTCAAGAATGGTACTTCCTAAGTTTTCTTGTAGGACTTTTATAATATGTAATCTTACATTTATATATTTAATTGATATTAAGTTAATTTTTGTATATTGTCAAAGTAGGGGTCCAGTTTAATTCTTCTGCATATGGCTAACCAGGTATCTACACACTGTTTTAAAATTAGATGTTATATCTTAAAATTGATTGTGCCTTAGAATCAAGAAAGGATAGGCATTAGCATCAATAAATCAGTTTGAAATGGTTTAGATGAGAGGTCAGAAAACTGTAGCCCAAAGTCTATATGCAACATGATGCCTGCTTTTATAAGTAATATTTTACTGGAATGTAGCCCCATTTGTTAATTACTATTATCTATGACTGCTTTGCAGTAATATGACAGAGTTGATAAGTGTAACAGAATTTGTATGGCCTGCAAAGGTGAAAATATTTATTATCTGTTCCTTTGTAGAAAAAAAGTTTATCAAATTTTGATCCAGATATATATCCATTGAATTGAACTGCAGAAATATTGTTTTAATGTAAATTTATTTTATGTACCCCTTCCAGAGCCTCTTATTTAGTCAGTCTGGCATATATCCTAGGATGCTGTGCACTTCAGAATTGCCCCCAAGTAATTCTAATGCAGAATAATTAAGGAACAAACTTAAAGGCACTTTATTATGGATCAGGCTTGCTCAAATTTTCTTGCTGCTAAGAATATTCTTGGTTGACTGACAAATATATAGCTTTCCAGCCTCCTTACCTGGAGATTGTGATTCAGTCACTCGGAGGCCTGGCCAAGTGTAGTTTGGTAAATCACGTATGTGGGGTGATTTTTATCTTCAGAAAAGTTTAGGAAACTTTGGAATGGATTCTCTGTTTAACCAGGAGCTATGCCTGCAATTCAAGTAAACTGTACTTGATGACTGTGTATTCTTTCTGTAAGCATTGTTAGGCACTGAACTACTTTCTAAGGGAGTACCAGTCAATCATCCACTGTAGTTCAAAAAAGATAGCCCTTGCTCATTGCTTGATATTTTATTTTTTATATTACTCCATTTAATCATTTATCAAGCTCTATAGTTCCTACCTTCAATGAGCTTGTTAATGGGGAAAGAGGGCAGATATTAAATAAACAGTCACATTAAGAAAGGAGACCACCCCTTATATTGTCTTATACCCAATTTCTGCCTCCAAAGAAAGCAGAAGTAAAAACTAAAATGCAGAAATAAAATCCACAAGCAGACAGTCCAGTGCCACACCCTGGGCCTGATAGTTAAAGATCAACCCCTGACCTAATAGGTTATGTTATCTATAGATTACAGACATTGTATAGAAACGCACTGTGAAAATCCCTGTCCTGTTTTGTTCCGATCTAATTACTTGTGCATGCAGCCCCTAGTCATGTACCCCCTGCTTGCTCAATCAATCGAGACCCTCTCACAGGCACCCCCTTAGAGTTGTGAGCCCTTAAAAGGGACAGGAATTTCTCACTCAGGGAGCTCAGCTCTTGAGACAGGAGTCTTACTGATGCTCCCAGTTGAATAAACTGCTTCCTTCTTTAACTCGGTGTCTGAGGGGTTTTGTCTGTGGCATGTCCTGCTACATTTCTTGGTTCCCTCACCAAGAAGCAAGATGATTAATGGAGAGTTGAGTCAGCTCCTTAGGTGGCTTAGGTCTGCCCTGTGGAGCATCCCTGTGGGGGACTCTGGCCCACTGGAGGGATGCAGATCCTGAGAGTGCTCCCAGGTAGGCAATTGCCCTGGTGGAATGCTTTGCCAAAGCGGTGCATGGCAGGGCCCTGTGGAGTATCAACACAGTGCCTGCACACCGGGAAGGAACTGGCACTTGGAGTCCAGATAACTGAAACTTGGTAAGACTAGTCTTGGGAACTTGCCCACTCCATTTCAGTGGAAGCGTGGCCTGATAACCCATGGTGTGTCTGTACAGCACTTTGTTTTTTCTTTTTGACTTGACTTGGATTGCTTGAGACTTTGGTTTTGGATTTGACCTCACTTGGATTTCTTGATACTCTGATTTTGGTTTTGATTCTGGTTTGGTGTAAACTGTAAAAGTGTGTGTGTGCCCTTTTTACCCATTCTTTGTTTTATGGTGTGCGTGTGGTGTAAGCATGGTGTATTGTCTAGAGGAAACGTGGATCAGGCACAAACTAAGCCCACCCCACTAGGAACTATGTTGAAAATTTTCAAAAAGGGATTTAGGGGAGACTATGAAGTCACCATGACACCAGAAAAACTTAGAACTTTGTGTGAGATAGACTGGCCAGCATTAGAGGTGTGTTGGCCATCAGAAGGAAGCCTGGGCATGTCCCTTGTCTCAAAGGTATGGCACAGGGTAACCTGTAAGTTAGGGCACCTGGATCAGTCCCATATATAGATTCTTTGTTACAGTTGGTTTTGGAGCCCCCACAGTAGTTAAGAGGACAGGCAGCAGCAGTAGTAGTAGCAAAGGGAGAGTTAGTTAAGGAAGGTTCTTTCTCCACCCACAGAGGGAAGTCGGCACCAAAAGTCCTGTCCGACCCAACACCAGAAGAATCATGGCAGGAATTGATACCAGAAGTACCCACTCCTTATCAAGAGGAAGTGTTCCCCACCCCTAAGCCCACAGCACCTCCACCTTCACCAGATAACCACACCCCTAGACCACCCAGACTAGACAAAAGAGGAAGAGAAACTGCAGGAGAAACTCCTCCCTTGGCAGCTAGCTTACAGCCTGAGACTGGAATCCAAATGTCCCTGAGAGAGCACCAATGTACTGGGGTAGATGAGGATGGACACATGTTGGAAAGGCGTGCCTTTGTATTTCAACCTTTCATCTCTACTGACCTCCTCAATTGGAAAAATAATATTCTATCTTACACTGAAAAGCCTCAAGCTTTAACTGACTTGCTCCAAACCATTGTACAGACTCATAATCCTACTTGGGCTGATTGCCACCAGCTGCTTATGTACCTCTTTAATATAGATGAAAGGCAAAGGGTGCTCCAGGTGGGAACTAAGTGGCTAGAAGAGCATGTCCTAGCTGATTACCAAAACCCCCAAGAGTATATAAGAATTCAACTGCCAGGAACAGACCCCCAGTGGGACCGGAATGAGGGACCAGACATGGAGAAGCTAAGATGGTACCATGAGGCATTAATAGAAGGTCTAAAGAAAGGGGCTCAATAGGCTACAAATGTAAATAAGGTCTCTGAGGTCATCCAAGGAAAAGAGGAAAGTCCAGCACAGTTTTATGAAAGACTGTGTGAGGCTTACCGTCTGCACACTCCTCTTGATCCAGCTAGTCCTGAAAATCAGCGTATGATTAATATGGCCTTAGTTAGTCAAAGCACAGAAGATATCAGGAGAAAATTGCAGAAACAGGCTGAGTTTGCAGGTATGAATACCTCATGTTTACTGGAAAGAACCAATCAAGTGTTTATGAATAGAGATGCAACAAGCCACAGAGAAAGCCTTAAGGAAGGCTAGTCAAAATGCCTACTTATTGGCCACAGCCATTATGGGAATTCCCCTGAAAGGAGAGGGAAAGGGGTGTTCTGGGAAGAATACCCAGTCTAACCACCAATGCTGGCAATGTAACCAATGAGCCTATTGTAAGGAAATAGGACATTGGAAAGATAAGTATCCCCAAATGATGGAAAAGCAAGTTTATTCAGAGCAAAAGACCTCAGATAAAGACAAGGGAGCTTTGTTCAAGCTGGCTGAAGGGCTACTGGACTGAAAGGGGCCAGGCTTAAGCACCCCTAAGGAGCCCAAGGTCAGGATTACAACTGGAGGCAAGGACATTAAGTTTTTGGTTGATACTGGTGCTGAACATTCAGTAGTGACCACCCTGGTCACCCCCTTATTCAAGAAAACCATTGATATAATCAGAGCAACAGGAGTTTCCACTAAGCACACTTTCTGTCTACCACGGACCTGCTCAGTGGGGGGACCTAAGATAGTTCACCAGTTCTTGTACATGTGTGACTTTCATCTGCCCTTGCTTGGAAGAGACTTGCTTAGCAAGCTGAGAGCCACCATCTCCTTTACAAAACAGGGCTCTTTATGCTAAAGTTACTGGGAACAGGAGTTATCATGGCCCTTGCAGTCCCCAGGGAAGAAGAATGGAGACTTTTTCTAACCAACCTAGGCCAAGAGATAAAAACAGCTCTAGCTAAGTGATGGCTCCAAGTATGGGCAGAGGATAATCCTCTGGGACTGATGGTCAACAAAGCCTCCATACTCATAAAAGTTAAGCCCAACCAATTCTACAAAAGCAGTATCTGGTTCCCAGAGAAGCTCTCAAAGGAATCCAGGTTCATCTCCGGTACTTGATAGCCTATGGAATTATAGTTCCTTGCCAGTCTCCATGGAACAAACCCCTCCTGCCTGTCCCTGAGACTGCCAGCCAGTACAGCACTTGCGCTTGGTCAACCAAGCTACAGTGACTCTGCACCCAACAGTTCCTAACCTTTACACATTTTTAGGGCTGCTGCTGGCTGAGGACAGCTGGTTTACCTGTCTGGAGTTAAAAGATGTCTTCTTTAGCATCAGACTAGATCCTGAGAGCCAGAACCTCTTTGCCTTTCAGTAGGAATACCTGGAAGCAGGTGTCACTACTTAGTACACTTGGACCCTGCTTCCACCAAGGGTTCAAGAACTCCACTACTATCTTTGGGGAGGCCCTGGTTTGAAACCTGCAAAAGTTTCCTCCTGAAGACCTAGGCTGCATCTTGATCCTGTACGTGGACAACCATCTGCTGGGTCACTCCATGGAGTCGGGTGTGCAAAAGGGAAGAGTGTCCTGCTTTGGCACCTTTAGGACCATGGGTATAAGGTTTCCAAGAAGAAATCTCAGATCTGCAGACAGCAGGTATGCTACCTGGGATTCACTATTCAGAAAGAGGAGCGCGGCCTGGTGTCAGAAAAAAGCAGGTCATATACAGCCTACCAGAACCTAGAACCAGAAGACAAGTAAAGGAATTCCTAGGAGCTGTGGGGTTTTGCAGATTATGGATTCCTAACTTTGCAGTACTAGAAAAACCTTTGTACAGGGTTACACAGGGGGGTGACTGGGTGCTTTTTGAATGGAGGCCTCTACAATAGCAAGACTTTTGTAAGTTAAAGGAAAAATTTATGTCGACCCCCGCCATAGGACTACCAGATTTGACAAAGCCCTTTGCATTCTATGTGTCAGAAAGAGAAAAAATGGCAGTTGGAGTTTTAACTCAGACTGTGGGGCCCTGGCCAAGGCCAGTAGTCTACCTCTCAAAACAACTAGATGGGGTTTCCAAAGGCTGGCCACCATGTCTAAGGGCCCTGGCAGCAACAGCCCTGTTAGCACAAGAAGCAAATAAAATTGCCGTTGGGCAAAACCTGAATGAAAAGGCCCCCCATCTGTGGTAACTTTGATGAACACGAAAGTACATCATTGGCTAAAAAATGCTCTATTAACCAAGTACCAAAACTTGCTATGTGAAAATCTGCACATAGATATTGAAATCTGTAACACCCTAAATCCTGCCACCAGGCTTCCAGTATCAGAGAGACTGATTGCATATAACTGTGTAGAGGTGTTGGACTCAGTCAATTCTAGCAGATCTGACCTTCGGGACAAGCCATGGGCATCAGTAGACTGGGAGTTATACATGGAGGGGACCAGCTTTATCAATCCACAAGGATAAAGATGTGCATGATATGTGGTGGTAACATTGGACACTGTCGTTGAAGCCAAACCATTTCCACAGGACACTTCAGCCCAGAAGGCTGAACTCATTGCTTAAATAACTTGGGCTCTGGAACTCAGTGAAGGTAAGACTGTAAACAGCTACACTGACTCTTGATACACCTTTCTAACCCTCCATGTGCATAGAGCATTATGTAAGGAAAAGTGCCGTTAAACTTTGAGGGAAAGAACATAAAATATCAACAAGAAATTCTAAAATTATTAGAGGCAGTGTGGAAACCTCAGAAGGTGGCAGTCTTGCACTGCAGTGGACACCAGTGATCCTCCACCTCAGTGGCCTTAGGATACCCTTGAGCTGATTCAGAAGCTCAAAAAGCAGCATCTACTTCTTACTGGGCATCAGTAGCTATCCCCTTACTCCCTCAAATCCCTGACTTGGTATCTGCCTATTCTAAGGTAGAAAAAGACTTCTTCCATGCAGAAGTGGGGCAAGTAATAAAAGGAGGATGGATCAGACTGCCAGATTTGAGGGTAGCTCTGCCACAGTTGCTGGGAGTCACAGTCGTATTGAACATGCACAAAACACTCATCTAGGACAAGAGTCACTTGAGGAATTGTTAGGCCAGTATTTCTACATCTCACACTTGCCAGCACTTGCCAAAGCAGTAGCACGATGGTGTGTTACTTGCCAACAGCCAATGCGAGGCAAGGCCCCACAGTTCCACCATTCATACAAGCTTATGGAGCAGCTCCTTTTGAGGATATTCAGGGGGATTTCACAGAAATGCTGCAATGTAGAGGTAACAAGTATTTGCGGGTTCTTCTGTGTACTTACACTGGGTGGGTGGAGGCTTATCCAACAAGAACTGAAGAGGCCTACGAGGTAAAACATCTGCTTCTCTGAAATCTTATTCCTAGGTTTGGACTGCCCTTATGAATCAGCTCAAATAACTGGCTGGCGTTTTTGCCTGACTTGGTACAGAAGACAGCAAAGGCATTAGGACTCACTTGGAAGCTACATGCTGTTTATGGACCTCAGAGTTCTGGAAAGGTGGAGCGAATGAATCAGACTATCAAAAATTGTTTAGGGAAAGTAAGTCAGGAAACAGGATTCAAGTGGATACAAGCCCTTCCTATGGTATTGTTTAAAATTAGATGCACTTCTTCTAAGAAAACAGGATAATGTCCTTATGAAATACTGTACCATAGGCCTCCTCCTATACTATGGGAGCTTCCAGGCACTCCCAGAGAGTTAGGTGAAATTGAATTACAGCGACAACTACAGGCTTTAGGAAAAATTACACAAACAATCTCAACTTGGGTAAATGAGAGGTGTCCCATCAGCTTATTCTGCCCAGTTCACCCTTTCTCTCCAGGTGATTGCTTGTGGACCAAGGACTGGAACGTAGCCCCTTTGGGGCCACGGTGGAAAGGACCTCAGATCATCATCCTGACCACCCCCATGGCTGTAAACGTAGAAGGAATCCCAGCCTGGATCCACCACAGCTGTGTGAAACCTGCAGCCAGTGAAACCTGGGAGGCAAAACCGAGCCCAGACAACCCAGCAAAGCGACTCTGAGGAGGACAATAAGACCTGTTCCAGTCACACCCAGAAGCTGACTGTTTTATGAATGTCTGAAGCATGAGAACAATCATCATGGGACTCATTTTCCTTATAATTTGGACTTGTGTAGTAAAAACTTCCACTGTTTTTCCCCACATGGAGGACAGCTGTCAGTGTATATATCAGGTTACCAAGTTAGGGCAACAAGTTAAAACAATATTTCTGTTCTATAGTTACTATGAATGCCTAGGAACTTTAAAAGGAAAATGTTTATATAATGACACTCAGTACAAGGTATGTAGCCCAGGAAATGACTGATCAGATGTGTGTTAGGACCCCTCTGAGCCTCCCATGTCCACAGTTTTTGAAATAAGATTAAGGACTGAAGACTGGTGGGGACTCATAAATGATACAAGTTAAGTATTAGCCAATAAAGAAGAAAAAGAGGAGCCTGAAAGGATAATCTTGAAATTTGATCCCTGTGCTGTCATTAATAGCAATAAGTTAGAAAGGGGATTGGCTCTTTTTGTTGGAAAAAAGGCTATATGACCAAAAATAAGTACATTTGTCATGATTTAGGACTCTGTGGAAATGAATGTGGATACTGCTCTTGTTTCATGTGGACCACTTGGATAAAAAATGAAAGGGATTCAGTCCACCTTCAGAAAGGGAAAAATGGACCTTCCTGTACCAAGGGACAATGTAACCCCTTAGAGCTAACAAAAACCAATCCCCTTGATCATCGCTGAAAAAGGGGGAGTGTGTGGCCTTAGGAATCAATGGGGCCAGACTGGATCCTCCAGTAAATATCTTGGTTCAAGGAGAAGTTTACAAGCACTCTCCTGAGCAAGTGTGTCAAACTTTCTATGATGAATTAAATGTGCCAGTACCAAAAATTCCAGGAAAAACAAGAAATTTGTTTTTGCAATTAGCCGAGCATACAGCCTAGTCTCTCAATGTCACTTCATGTTATGTATGTGGATAAACTGTAATGGGAGATCTATGGCCACGGAAAGCCCAAGAATTAGTACATACAGACGCAATTCCTGGCTCAGAAGAATCACCCTGATAACTCCTGGGTCATAAAAGCCTAATTATTGGATAATATTTCATAGCTAGAGAAGGAAAATAATTAACTCACCCCTTAGGACAACTTAGTTGTCTTGGAAAAAAAACTGTCAACTGGTACCACAAAAACAGTCACTTGGTAGAGTTCAAATCACACAGAGAGGAATCCATTTAGTAAATTCCCAAAGCTGCAAATTGTGTAGACCCACCCAGAGTCCCACAGGGACTGGACAGCCCTCACTGGATTATACTGGATATGTGGGCATGTAGCTTATGCCAAATTACCTGACTGGTGGGCAGGTAGTTGTGTTATTGGCTCTATTAAACCATCTTTCTTCCTACTGCCCATAAAACCAGGTGAACTCCTGGGCTTCCCTGTCTATGCTTCCCACGAAAAGAGGAGCATAGCTATAGGAAATTGGAAAGATGTTGAATGGCCTCCTGAGAGAATAATACAATATTATGGGCCTGCTACTTGGGCACAAGATGTCTCGTGTGAATACTGGACCCGCATTTACATGATCAACTGAATAATATGGTTACAAGATATCTTAGAAATAATCACTAATAAAACTGGCAGAGCCTTGACTATTCTGGCCTCACAAGAAACTCGAAGAGAAATGCTATCATCAAAATAGATTGGCTCTCAACTACTTGGTAGCAGCTGAAGGAAAGATCTGTGGGAAATTTAACCTTACCAATTGCTGTCTACACAAAGGTGATCAGGGGCCAGTAGTTGAAGACATAGTTAGAGATATGACAAAACTGGAACATGTGCCCATGCAAGTGTGGCATGGATTTGATCCTGGGGCCATGTTTGGAAAATGGTTCCCAGCACTAGGAGGATTTAAAACTCTTATAATAGGAGTTACAATAGTAATAGGATCCTGCTTACTGCTCCCTTCTTTGCTATCTGTACTTCTTCAAATGATAAAAAGCTTCATCACTATCATAGTTCACCAAAATGCTTCAGCACAAGTGTACTATATGAATCACTATCAATCTGTCTTGCATGAAGACATGGGTAATGAGAATGAAAGTGAGAACTCCCACTATTGAGTAAGATTCTCAAAATGGGTGGGGGGAATAAAGGAGGAGACCACCCCTCATATTGTCTTATGCCCAATTTCTGCCTCCAAAGAAAGAAGAAGTAAAAAATAAAGGCAGAAATAAAATCCACAAGCACACAGCCCAGCACCACACTCTGGGCCCGGTAGTTAAAGATCAACCCCTGACCTAATCAGTTATGTTATCTATAGATTATAGACATTGTATAGAAAAGCACTGTGAAAACCCCTGTCCTGTTTTGATCAGATCTAATTACCCATGCATGCACCCCCAGTCACGTACCCCCTGCTGGCTCAATCGATCATGACCCTCTCACGTGCACGCCCTTAGAGTTGTTAGCCCTTAAAAGGGACAGGAATTGCTCACTCAGGGAGCTAGCCTCTTGAGACAGGAGTTTTACTGATGCTTCTGGCTAAATAAACCACTTCCTTCTTTAACTCGGTGTCTGAGGGGTTTTGTCTATGGCTTCTCCTGCTACAACATGAAAACATCATTACAACTCATAGGCAATATGAATAAATACTAAAGGCTGCAATGAAAGATTATAAGGGAACCTGATTTCTTGGGAGTGATAATTCAGGAGAAACTTTTCTAAGGAACTGATTTAAATTATTTTTAGTTAATTTGATACTGCAGCTTTCTTCTGACCCTATCACATTGAATTACTAGTATAAATCTATTCCAGGCATCTTGATGCTGGGCTCAGTTGTGAATAGATTGATAACTCTGGATCTATTGGTCCTTTTGTACTGATCAATGAAAATGTCACAATTCTTTGATTTACAACTTCTCATAGATCTTAGTTTTCTTCCTTCTGATTAGGCTGAACTGGTTGATAAGCAGATTGCAGATACAATTTTATACATCCATAAATTTGGTTAATGAGAATCCCTTTCCCCCACTCTATTGTTTGATCCCTTCATAAGCATCAAATTTCCTGAGTTCTCTCACCGACTTTTCTAATATCCTTAGTCAGCAACACAATTGTCAACCTGACTAGCTCAGTGTCTGCTCCCTTGCCCAGCTGTTCTCTTACCCTCTCTTGACATTCAAGGACAGAACTTTTACTGAGCAATCTTCCAAATGCAAGTTAAACCCCTCCACTACTGAACTTATGGAAATCAACATTGAAGAAACAATCTACACAATTAATTTCACTCTTCTGTCAATATTACTACATAAAGAAGAAAAACAGCAACTTCTAACTATTTTAAGAAAAAATCAACAGTCCCAATGTAAGGACTGAGTGTTTTCATTAGCATGTTAAATACTTTAAAATTTCTAAAGGGTTTTATCACACATTTTCTTTTGTGCCTATTTTTCTATGTAGGGGAGTTGTGAGTATAATTTTACTGATAATAAAACCATGGCTCAGAGACGGAAATGTGTAGCCTGAGGTCAAAACCTCACCTAGTACAATCTGTTTCTACTTCTGATTATAATGACAAAGTAGCTCACTCAATTTTGCAGCTTGTCTTATCTTGTGTTCTCTCTTCTTGTCCCTGGGAGGCTGTTTATTTGCAGTTCAACAAAGCTCCTGCAACTTTTATTTGCTTTCTCCAGTTATTCCTGCTGTTTGAGAGCTAGGTCATCAAAGCTTTGCTTGAATCCTGACACTTTAGCCATGAAAATTTTACAATTTTCACTGCTCTACTTGGAAGCTTAACTATACTGAACTCCCATTGTTTCTGAATAGAGAAAGTGCTGCAGCAAGAACCCCATGTGTTTCAGGTGGTTTTACTGAGGAAATCTTACACACCCACAGGTTGTGACCTGTGGGAAAAACTCTCTAGCCAACTAACAGCACACGCTGGATCACTGCCTCTTAAAAACCCATATCCTGTCCTGCCATCTGTAGGTATGGTTGTTTTAAGGATTACTCTGTGCAGAATTTTCCATATAATTCAGAAAGCCAGATTTTTTTATCTAGGTTATCATTAGGAATTCTTTCCATTATGACTATTTTTAAAAGAATAATTTAAGAATAGCATTGCAAGCTTTTCAAATGTACAGAATGCGGTTTTCCTCCCAACTCTATTCTAGTCACTATCAAAGACAGGGAACTGGGTCCTTCCTAAAGTCTTATATCTACCTCTGTGAACATTGAGGCAGAAAGGAAACTGGCCTCACCAGACTCTTTTTCATCCTCAATTCTACCTTTTGCTCTTTATCATTCAATAGTTTTCTCTGGTTCTTAAGCTGTCATGAAAAAGAAACTGCAGTTGCTCAAGTGCTCTTCATAAATGTTTTCTGAATTTCACTTTGAGACCTAGATGTAAGAAAACATACTCAGGCACATGTCTGCTCTTTGCCTTTCGGTAATCTGACTATATTTGAAAACGTCTTTCCTTCAGCACTGGTCTTTGCACTTTAGCTCCCACTTAGCACTCTATCCTCCCTATCACCGTCTGACCACTCTTACCATGTACGTAGGACTCATTAAAATAGCAGTATATAAACTTCTGATTCCATTGTCTTAAAATGTCTAATATGGTTGAGAGTCAAAATGTCTGGATTTAAAACCTGGCTCTACTGCTTATGAGAAAGTTGCCACAACTCTCTGGATCTTAGTCTCTTCAACTGCAGAATGAGAAAATTGAAAGTATCTACCAACCCCGAGTTGCAATGGGAATGAAAAGTGATAAGGCATGCAAAGTGCTCAGAATAAGGTTGAGCAGGTAATAAGGATGCAATAAATGTGAACTATATTATTATCACCCCAATGTATGTTTCTGTTAGATAGAGTCAACCTTATTGATATCACAGGTCTACCATGAAAAGTAAATCATGTAGGCAGAATGCCTAGCACAGGGTCTGGTATAAAACAGACATGTGGTAAATACTCCCATTCTGCAACAAATCACTCCTCCTTTCCATGCCTCCTTGCTTAATGTGAAGAGTCGTTTTCCTCATATATTTTTTCTTTTCTGAATTGATTATTATACTACAATTCTAAAATGAACGTTAAAGTACTGGGTTTGAATTAAGTCCAAAAATATGGGGAAAAAATGTAAAAAGAAAAATTGTCAAGTAGCAGCTGTGTTGTTAGGCAAGGAGATATTAGAGTGGTGACTCATTTATAAGAAGTTTCTTTTAACTCTACAGTGAAGTGGACATTGTAATAGCCCTTACCTTCTGGTCATAAAATACTTGAGGACTGCCAGAAAAAAACTGAAAAACTGGCTATTCTACCTGAGGTCATACTTTTTAATTGCATGAAGTCAAGTGTAATGTGTAATCACTTAACTTCTGTTCAACTGGTGCCACTTTTCAATTTGTTCTTTTTAATAGTCTCACAGACTCCTCAGCCTGGGAGAGGATAGGAAATGCCATATTCTCCTACTTGAGTTATAGTGTTTGATGGCCTCTACGTCACTCCTGCCAGGTGGTCATCCAGTCTCAGTTGATGTCTTTCAGGGTGAGGAAGCTCACAATATCCAGAGAGCTGCCTAAACCAGTTTGAGAGAGATATATCTGTGAGAAAACCTTTCTTTTGATGAGCCAAAGTTTGGCTTCACATGTTCGTTGCTAACATCCTAATATTGTCTCTTCAGGCCTTATAGAACTAGTGTCCTCTTTCGTGTGAAATAATAGCCAATCTATTACTGGAAGAAAATTCTCATATCCTTCACAGATGTTTTTGTTTCTCCACATGGATACTATTCTAAGCTAATTAACATTTTTTTTTAAATTGAAATAAGTATCCAGATAACGTAGACCCAGGGATGCATTCATTCCCGGTATTTAGTATACCCTTAAACAATTTTCAGATTTGGGAACACATTGCATGCCTCCAGATGCCACTCCATAATGATTTATTTGAGGGAATAGCAGTTGATGTTTGTCGTAGTTCATTCAGGCTGTTATAACAAAATACCATAAACTGGTGGCTTACAAAACAAAAACAAAAAAAACAGAAGTGCATTTCTCCTACTTCTGGAGTTTGGGAAGTTCAAGGACAAGATGACAGAGGAGGAGATATCTGGTGAGGGGCCACTTTCTGGTTCATATATGTTGCCTTCTAGCTGGGTCCTCACATGGTAGAAGGGGAAAGACAGGTCTCTGGGGCTTATTTTGTAAGGGCACTCATCTCATTTATAAGGGCCTGACCACCCTGACCTAATCATACAGATTTTACATTTGGATACCACCACATAAGTGATAATTTTTCAACATATAAATTTGTGAGGGGGTGGAATAAAAAGAATCAGTTTATAACAGTTTTAGAAAAATATAGAATCTGTGTACAAATGTTTATTTATTCATTCATTCACCCCAAGTTGTAAATATTTGATATAATTTTTATGACATAAATGTATATTTTTCAGCATAATATTTTACAATATTCTGTTCATATGAGCCCTCTCCCAACTTTATAGTAAAATAATCAACGTTTAATAAATGGGGGCAGAGGAGACAATTATTTTAAAAGATGGAAATAACACTGTTGCCATTACAACAATCCTTCTTTTTCCTTTGAACCACACTCTCCCTGTTCCATCAGTTTTCCTTCTTTTGCCTTTCTGGTTTTATGATCTTCAGCATTTCCCATAGGCATTGAAGGCTCATGAGTCACAAGACAGCTTGGTGCTTGGGTCTTTTTTTCATATCCAGAATCAGTATGTCAGCTGG
This sequence comes from Homo sapiens, assembly GCF_000001405.40. Taxonomy (NCBI): domain Eukaryota; kingdom Metazoa; phylum Chordata; class Mammalia; order Primates; family Hominidae; genus Homo; species Homo sapiens. The sequence continues at coordinate 8,815,874 of NC_000024.10, forward strand.
CACATACTTTGACTTAGAGATTCACTTAATAACTACAGGACAGTAGAAAAATCATCCTAAGACAATGGAGAGGATAGTTATCATTACTTTGCCTTGTTCACTAGATAAGGAAATGCAATGTGAAAGGCAGGAGAGCTCTAACATTGCTTGGTGCACCAAAGTATAAAGTTGGAACGTTACATTTATCTGGAGTAGCCATAATTTTAAACCCTTTGTGGTTTAGGTGGGATATCCAGAAAACTGATTCAATGAAAATTGTTTGTCTACCTACCTCCCATTATCTCAAGTCAAAGACCAGAAGAAACACTTCCATGGTTGAACCACTTGGGTTTATTTTTCGCTGAAGCATGAAAGGGGAATGCATACCATAAGATGTCTTAGTAACGTATAAGAAAATAGTTTATAGGATTTGGGTTTATGTTAGGAGACTTGAGGGAAGGTTTATGTAAGCAAGGCAGTGTCAGAAAGCAAGAGCTATTTTATGATGGGGTATTTCAATAAGTCTTATGCAGAAGGAGGGGAAAATAGAGCAAGTTTAAATTGGTAGTTGATGAAGAAGTGATCACTCACATCAGCCTAGATAGGTGGATATTTGGTCATTTTTTTCCGACTTGAACAACGTTTCTGTTATATATGGATTTAGATGTGATTATGGAGTGGTGTTGCTTTTGTCTTCATCCATCATGGTCACAGAGTGGCCTTATTTGATGTTGCTGCTCTGTGAAATTGTTCATGTTCAACAAAAGAACACCAAGACCTTGCCATAAGTGATAGACCAGCACCTAGCAAGACCCAGGCCCAGCTGATATGACCACATCAGCTCTTTGATGTCAGGGCTGCTCTTCTTCTTCTCACTGGTGGGCAATTGTGGTGCATCAGTGAAAACATTAGGAAACAAAGCGGATGGCAATATGTCCATTCTCATTGGGAGAAGGGGATACAAAAAACCAATAAACTTGGTAAGTAAATTATATAGTGTCTTAAATGCTATGGGAAACGATAAAAGATAATGGAACACTGCAAAAGGATAGGAATTGGAGAAGGCATAACAGAGGAAAGTTGCAGTTTTAAATAAGGCAGACCTCTCTGAGAAGGTGACATATGAGTAAATACTTGGAATGGAGGTGAGGAAGTGAGCCATGAGAACAGGGAATTCTGGTCGAATTTCGGAAAAATTACCCTAATACTGAGTATAGATGGTTAATAATCATCTGCTTACTCTACAGGCAATTGAACCCATCCTCTGCTTCATGTCCAGTTCTTGGTTTTCCCATTGACCTCTCTGAGGCCTTTCTGCCCTACACTAGATAGAAAGGGGTTGAGTAGAAGGCACAGACAAGTTGGGAGATGATTTCCTTTTCCTCAGAACTTCTGCTTTATGACATAAAGGTAATGAGTAAACTTCTTACCCATCTTCCTTCCCAAAGCTGCTAACATCAGTGATCTGTCCTCCATGGAAGGCAACTGCCCACCTGACTATTCCTGTTACAAGATGATTCTTGCTCCATCTTCACTGTAGCCAGGATTCTGCATATTCTCTTCTCATGGAAGGTAAAGTTGTTCAAGTTCTATCCTTACCCATTAGAACTGGAATCAGAGACATGAATCTGAGCTGTCTCCTAGGAGATTTCTTCTGTTGCTTCTGTTTCTTCAGAGCATATTTATGGCTATGAGACTTGTTTCTCTTCTAGGAAAATCTCCAATTTCTCTTTGGTATGCATTATCGTCAATTGTCAAACTTAAAGATATAAACACAGGCCGATAATTTATCTATACTTTGATCAAGATCGCAGCTTATAAGTGATATATCTAAGTGAGCTCAGTCTTCAAATTTCCTTAGCGATGGTCTTGTTTCTAGGTTCCAGTACATTCCTACCTGGTAGCTATGTTGAAATAAAAAATTGTTCAACAGAAATGTTAAAGGTGAAAATAATTGACACCAAGTGACATAATGTAGTACCCTTCTGTGATAAATTGAATAACACCAATTTAAATTTGTACACATCACTACAATGAAAGTAATGGCATGGGAATCTCTTGATAACCAGCACAGCAATATGACAAAAAGTGTACTCTATAAATTTCTGTTTTAGAAAGATGTAATTCTTGATTTGATATGTTTAATCATCAGAATGTGGGACACATTTTTATTACTGAATTATAATGACTGTAGTAACTTACATTTTTATGGGGAATTATGCCTTACTTTTATATTTAGTTTCTCATTTGAGTCCCTTAATATCTCTGGAAGGTAGATAATGTGTGGAGTTATTGTCTTCATTTTACTGTGAAGAAAATAGGGCTCAAAGAAAACAGACTTGCAAATTTAATAAGAGCTGAATGCAGGGATGGAATCCAGTTCTCCTTAATATGAATATATCTTTCAAACAAAGGTCAACAAGTTATTATTTCAATTTTCTATCTGTTGCTTATTACATATCTGAACTTGGACAAGTCCTATAATCTCTGAGTTTTCATTTTCTTGAGGCTAGTGGCAATGCCTACCTCAATATATTATTTTATAATGAATATCTAAACATGTATATCAATCCTAGTATAATACCTGGCAAACTCAATGTGCTCAACAACTGATAGCCCTATTATTATGAGCAAGAGCAACATTTATAAAATTATTTATTAATCTGTAAAACAGGAAGACTAGAACTTGACTCATAGGGTTGTCATTGGTATTAAATGAAATATCAAAAGCAAAGTATTCAACATAGTATGTGTCACATATGCAGACAATCAATGGTAGCTTATATTGTAATTATTTTCAATTGCATCTTAGGATTCACTTTTTCTAACAGTGACTGAAATCTGGTCTCAAATTTAAGTAAAGATGAGGACTTACTGGTGCAAGTAATTTAACAATGAAGGAATATATCTTGCTTCTGGTGTACCTAAATAAAGGCTATTAAATGATATCTTCAGAATCACTCCCACCATGTACTCTGCTCCTCTTTGTTGACTCCATTATCAAGTAGTTCCAAAGTAGCTTTCATCAGTTCCCACGTCTACATACTCCAACATGTTTTTCTGGTGGGAAAGAACAAAAATATTTATCCAACCATTACCATCTTAATGTCACAAGATTCATGTGATTTTATTGAGTTAGGTTAGGTGCTCACCTCTGTATCAATCAGTTGGGCCAGAGAAATATGATGCCCATGTTGACATGCATCCTGAGTAACATGCAAATATCTAGTATGTTATTAGTAAGCTATATAGACTCATTCTCAAGGAGGTAGTTCCTTGATCTATGTAATTTGGTTATTCCATTGTAGTTCCCATACCAATAGTTCACCTTCATCCATGCATTATCTCATTTTTCTGTTGATAGCACAGCAAAGTACAATTTAGCACAAAGGAATTGAACAAAATTGTTACTTAACATACTAACAATATCAACCTATTCACTGTAATTAGCATTTCTGTGATACATCCTTACATTGTGTAATCATCTGTCTTGAACACCAAAAGAAGATGAAAGAATTATTCTTGCCTTCAAAGGAATCCAAGCTCATAACACAAGAGACAGATATTTTAAATATTTAGGTGAATGTGAGCAATAAGATAGAGCCATCCCAAAGTGCTCTGGAAATGCAGAAGATATTATTTCTGAATGAGACTGAACAAAGGCAAAAACTTGAGACAGCTAGAAAATTTAATGAGAACAGTTGAGAAAGCTGTTGGTTTAAGGCATTAACACTGTAGTTTTCCAAGGTAGGCCTGGGTGTATTATGAGGAAGTTATTCTAGATTCAGGGAGCACATAGTTTGCAGATGAATGAGTGTATGCTTTCTTTTTATTTTTCTCAAGACACTTTTTTCCTTCCCTTTTCTGCCTCTTGATAAATGAAATCCCATTATCTTTATAAATTTCCAGAGACAATTCCTCACTTAATCCCACCCCCAGGACCTACTCTCAGGATTAAATTGGGTTAGGTAGCAACATTCATTCATTCAGTCTATCAGTCAGTGGGCTCCTATTTGGTGTCAGTTGTGTGCCAGCCACATTAGGGAATAAAAGTTTAGTTAACATATATATTTTTTGCCTGAAATTTAAGGTGTATCCATTTTGCTTAAGGAGACAGATATGTTACCAACTTAAAAGTATAATTTGAGCAATGCTGTACTGAGACATGTGGAAAGCATTTAGAGATATCAGAAGGAAAAATAACTAGTACTGCCTGGTGCAAGGTGCAGATGGATAGTTGATTAGAAAGGTTTTCACTGAGGAGATGGCCTTTGAACTGGACTGCTAAGCAAAGGAGGAAGTCTATACAAATGAAGGGAGGCATAAAAAAAAAACACTTGGGAAGTACCTAAGGATTGGGCGGTAGCTTGGTATGTCTGGTATGTGTATAGCTTCAAGGGAGAAAGTGTCACGAGATAAGGCCATAAAGGTGTGCAAGCACGAGGTCAGGAAGGATCGTAGAGATATGGTATTATCACATAAGTGAAGGTAATGCAGGGTATCAGAGGAGGGAAAAGAAAAGATTCAATCCAGGCTGTTGCCTAATCATTAAACATAACTACAAAGAGTAATTACAAGTTTTGGAATGGAAGGCTGTAACATGCTACAGAGGCCCTGTTTTAGAAAATTCTAATGAACCCAATGCAAACAAAAATTAAATACAATAAATAAGTAAATAATATTTCATCTTAAGAGAACATATTTCCTTGAAATTGAGATCTCTTCTGGTATGATATGGAATTCTATTTATAATAAATCATCATTATATTTTCTCCAGAAGTATTTCCATTGGTCTCCACCAAAGGCTAGTTGTTTGCTTGGGCCAAATATGTTAATCTGAAGACAATTGGCTACATAGCTGAAATGCATTGCTGGACATGTTCAATATTTGAAGAGAAATGCAAAGGTGACCCAGCTATGTACTCATAATATACCAGAGCCTAACTTTAGCAGTAAACCTTGTGATTCCTATTGAAATATCACCACACAGGTAGAAGGAAACAACAACTGAAAGACTTTGTAATGCTTGAATAAGTAAATCCATTAGATTAAATCCAAAAGCCCATTTATTCTGAATTATATGGCATGGTGGCAGACAATATTAGCAAATATCAGGTTTATATTAAAATTGTGATGACCTCGTGCTTTTTCTTTAGGAAGTTTACAAATATTGGTATTCAAAAAGTAGTTTTTGGACTTGCATTTCTGAAGTTATTGAAAAGGCTAACATAATGCCATTTCAATCATTTAGTTTTTCTAATTGACTTTGCAGTTACATCTTCTTAAGTGTTTATTTCTAACACAACCACAGTCCTCTTCCTTTTAAGCTTTCAGTGCTGAGGGCAAAACTTCTGTTAATCACAAACAAAACTCTGAAAATGCCATTGTGTTATCACCCAGGAACACAGACAATAAAATTAATCATCACTCCCAATGCATTTCCATTTGCTAACACAGTGAAATCACCAACCACAACTTCATTCCCCTGAGGTTTCCATAGAAAGTTTTCATATCTTATTCCAGTGAATCAGACAAAAGCTCTAGGTGTCTATTTATCATGAGGACAGTTTTTAAATTTAAATTGCAAAATGCAGCCACGTGATCACCTATACAACCATGGAAATTTGGTTTCCTAATCTGGGGAGTAGGTCTGAGTTTGTAGATATTGCTAAAAATTTCCAACCAAGTGTATGGAATTGTTGCTTAGATAATAAATATTTGGATAAGTTGGACACAAAAGAGGGGCTAATACACAAGGAAAGTGACCTATATCATTTGAAAATATATACTTTTCTCTAATATTCTATTCATTTTGGGAAAATAATTCCTTTTGCAAAGAGATTTCCAATGCTCTTGGTTTTGTGGGTACTCTGCATTTGTGTGTATAATAGACAACTGGGCAAATCTTACCCCAAGTTTACCTTTCCTGGCTTCCCTATTTCTACTTATGATCACTATTGAATCTTGAACATGGAAGGAATCATGGGAGCTATTATTCATTTGGCAATTTTTTACATGCTTATTGAATATCTGTTATAGATTATGCTCTATTTTAGGCACTGAGGATTTACACATATTCTTGGGAAACTCTTCAGGGTGCAAATAATACACAACTAAATGAGTGAGATAAGCTCAGATGGTAATGGTTGCTATAATGAAAACTGTTCAGGGAGATATTTAAATTAAGCTTTTGATCAAGAACTACTTCAATGAGATGATATTTAATCTTGAGAAAGAGCTGGCCAAGTGGAGATTAATGAGGAGAGTATCCCAGATAGAGGAAAGAGCAAGTATATACAATGAGGTGCTAGACAATTTTTTTTTTTTTTTTTTTTTTTTTTTTTGAGACGGAGTATCGCTCTGTCTCCCAGGCTGGAGTTCAGCGGCGGGATCTCGGCTCACTGCAAGCTCAGCCTCCCGGGTTCACGCCATTCTCCTGCCTCAGCCTCCCAAGTAGCTGGGACTACAGGCGCCCGCCACTACGCCCGGCTAATTTTTTGTATTTTTAGTAGAGACGGGGTTTCACCGTTTTAGCCGGGATGGTCTCGATCTCCTGACCTCGTGATCCGCCCGCCTCGGCCTCCCAAAGTGCTGGGATTACAGGCGTCAGCCACCGCGCCCAGCCGACAATTTTTGATAAATGAAGAATTATCTTTACCTTACAATTTTAAAGTATTTTCATATTTAGTGTCCATCTATATTTTAAGTGATATTTTCAAATTTTCTATGAGGGTAATCATATTTTAGTAGAAAGGGATTTTTTTGCCTTCAGGATATTAACCATTTGTTACTGGTATTGCAAATACTTTCCTATTTAGTTATTTATACTGTGACTAATTTTGTTCTTTTTTAAATAAAGATTATATGTTATATGTAACTCTATTAATTTTTTATGTTTCTTAACTTTCATTATATGCTTAGAAATAACCTCTCTACCTAAAGATATTTAGTGGTTAAGTCTCTAGTAATTATTTATGTTAACACTTCATCTTTGATTTAATGTTTTTAAGTATTTGATGTATCTTTGCATTTATTTAAGAAACCATTTTAGTTTTTAGAATATGGTTAACCAATAATCACAATGAAATTAAATAATTCAGTCTCTCTGCTATTTTAAATGCTGCCTTATTGTATACTAAATTACACGTTCTTGAGTCCAAATCCAGACTTTGCACTGTGTTCCTTTCAGCTATTGTTCTGTGCCAATACTAACAGTTTTGCTTTTTTCTATCTTTATAATTCTATTGATATACGTTGGGACCAGTCTTCCCTCACTTTTCTTTATCAAAAGTATTTTAATATCACCTATTATTCCAGATATATCTTTGAGTTCTTTTGCCAGTTCACTTTTAAATAACATTTTGATTGGAACACAATAAACGTTATAATTTTACTTACATAAGATATACATTTAACTTTGATTATTTCAAAATACATTTTGTTGTTGTTTATGATAATAAATGTGCCAACTTTTTAAGATACTGAACCTGTGATTAGTTCTAATAAGACATAGAATGAATTTTCTCAGATTTTCTGGGTATATAACAATGTAATTTACAGATAATTAAATACCTTAAAAGGAATTGCAAATTGTTATTACATGTATGTGTATATTCATTTGTTTATTTATAGGAGCTAGAGCTCATATGTTTTAAAATAGCTGCTGTGATACTCTACATCTCTTAATCTCAGCTTTCTGTAAAATTGTGAGACAGTTACTTACCACAAAAGGTGGTTTTGAGCATCAAAGAATCACATTAGTTCTTTTAGACAAAATGCTTAAAACAGTGCCTATCACATAGTAAGCACTATAAAGTGTTTTTGTTGCTGATATCATTATTAATATTATTTTATTGGCTGCAATTTCAAAATAAAAGATAACCGTGGTGTGAGTAAACATCTTTATTTTGCTCTTTATCTTATGGATGATACACTTTAGAGGTTTATTTTTATATTATGAATCATTTAAACTTATTTAGACATTTGGACATTTTGACATTGTGTAACTTAAGTTTGATATGCATATTAGTCTGTTCTCATGCTGCTAATAAAGATATAACCAAGACTGTTTAATTTATAAAGGAAATAGGTTTCATTGACTCCCAGTTCAGCATGGCTGCAAAAGCCCCAGGAAACTTAAAAATCATAACAGAAGAGGAAGCAAACACATCCTTCTTCACATGGCAGCAGGAAGAAAAATGAGTGTTGTGTTAGTCCATTTTCATGCTGCTGACAAAGGCATACCTGAGCCTGGACAATTTTACTATAAAAATAAGTTTATTTACTTACAGTTCCACATGGCTAGGGAGGCATCACGATCATGGCAGAGGGCAAGGAGGAGCAAGTCACATCTTATGTGAATGGTTTCAGACAAGAAGAGAGCTTATGCAGGGAAACTCCACCTTATAAAGCCTGCAGATCTCATGAGATTTATTCACTATCAAGAGAACAACAAGGGAAAGACCTGCCCCCATGATTTAGTTACCTTCCACCGGGAACCTCCCACCATATGTGGGAGTTCAAGATGAGATTTAGGTGGGAACAAGGCCAAACCATATCATTATGCCCCTGGCCCTTCCCAAATCTCATGTCTTCACATTTCAAAACCAATCATGCCTTCCCAACAGTCCCCCAAAGTCTTAACTCATTTCAGCATTAACTCAAAAGTCCACAGTCCAAAGTCTCATCTGAGACAAGACTACTCTCTTTCACCTATGAGCCTGTAAAATCAAAAGCAAGTTAGTTACTTCCTGGACACAATGGAAGTACAGGAATTTGGTAAATACAACCATTCCAAATGGGAAAAATTAGCCCAAACAAGGACCTACAGGCCCCACGCAAGTCTAAAATCAAGTGGGGGAGTCAAATATTAAAGCTCCAAAATGATCTCCTTTGACCCCATGACTTGCATCTGAGTCACACTGATGCAAGAGGTGGGTTCTCCTGGTCTTGGGCAGCTCCACCCCTATGGCTTTGCAGTTTATAGTCCCCCTCATAGCTGCTTTCACGGCTGATATTGAGTGTCTGTGGCTTTTCCAGGCACACGGTTCAAGCTGTAGGTGGACCTACCATTCTGAGGTCTGGAGGATGGTGCACTTCTTTTCACAGCTCCACTAAGTGGTGTTCCAGTAGGGACTCTGTGTTGGGGCTGCAACCTCACATTTTCCTTCCACACTGTCTTTCTCTTCTATAGTATTGTCAGGCTGTAAATTTTTCAACATTTTTTGCTCTCCTTCCCTTATAAAACTGAATGCCTTTATCAGCACCCAAGTCACCTCTTGAATGTGTTGCTGCTTAGAAATGTCTTCTGACAGATACCCAAAATCATCTCTCTCTAGTTCAAAGTTCCCCAAATTTCTAAGGAAGGGGCAAAATGTCACCAGTGTCTTTGCTAAAATGAAACAAGAGTCACCTTTGCTCCAGTTCTCAACAAGTTCCTCATCTCCATCTGAGACTTCCTCAGCCTTGATTTCATTGTCCATATCATTGTCAGCATTTTAGCCAAAGGCATTCAGCAAGTCTCTTGGAAGTTCCAAACTTGCCTATACTTTCCTGTCTTCTTCTGAGCCCTCCAAACTGTTCCAATCTCTTCCTGTTACTCAGTTCCAAAGTCACTTCAAATTTTGGGGGATATTTTCAGCAATACCCCACTCTAGAGCTGGGGTATTTACTATATTCATTTGTTTTCATGCTGCTGATAAAGACATATCTGAGTCTGGGCAATATTATGAAAGAAAGTGGTTTACTGCACTTACATTTCCAGATGGCTGGGAAAACATCAAAATCATGGCAGAAGACAAGGAAGAGCTCATCACATCTCACATGAATGGTGGCAGCCAAAAAGAGAGCTTGTGCAGGGAAACTCTGCCTTATGAAGCCATCAGATTTCATGAGACTTACTCACTATTAAGAGAACAGCATGGCAAAGGCCTGCCCTTATGATTTAATTACCTCTCACTGAGTACCTCCCACAGCATGTGGGAATTTAAGATGAGATTTGGGTAGGGACACACCCAAACCATATCAATGTCCATCAAAGGGCAAAGACCCTTGTAAAACCATCAAATCTTTTGAGAACTAACTCCTTATCATGAGAACAATATAGGGGAACCTGCCCCCATAATTTAATTATCACCACCTGTTTTTTCCATGACACATGGGGATTATGGGAAGTACAATTTAAGATGAGATTTGGGTGGGAACACAGCCAAATTGTATTATTATGTATCACTAAAAAGCAACATTTAAAAAATAAACTGCAAAATTATTAAGATAGCAAACAAAAGTAATATCTTCTAAGGCCAGGCACAGTGGATCATGCCTGTAATCTCAATGCTTTTGATACCAAGATGGGCGGATACCCTGATCCCAGGATTTCAAGACCAGTCTGTGAAACATGGTGAAATCCCATCTCTACAAAAAGTACGTACAAAAAAATAGCTACTCTGGAGGTTGAGGTGAAAGATCTTTTGAGCCCAGGAGGCGGAGGTTGTGGTGAGTTGAGATCGTGCCATGGTACTCCAGCGTAGGTGACAGAGTGAGGGAGAAAAAAAAAATTCTATTATTATTGTATTCATATTTAAATTTGGCTGAGCTCTTTTTCTTGGCTGGTTCATTGAAACATACATCTCATCAAGAATTAAGCATATCACTTAGTCACTGCATCTCAAATCTCAATCTGGAGTAGTTTCTACCTTTATATTAATGATATTGAAAAAAGGTTGCCATCTTCTGAAATTGTGTGCTTGTTTACTTATGGTGTAATTTACTTTCTTCTGATATCATTGTATTTTCTGTAAACTGGTACTTGAATCTGAAGGCTTGATTGAATTACAGTTACAAATATTTTGTGAAAGAGCACTCTATACAACATTATGTGTCACATCTGGTCCTCTGGGAAGCAGATGTCGAGACATAATTAGATGTGCAAAAGATTTATTGAGAAAAATGCCTGGGATGATAGAGGGGAGAGGGAGCAAGAGGTTTTATGATCTTCACCAAAGTTCTGAAAACTCTAAAAAGATAAAATTATTTAGGATTTGTATCCCATTCTCCTTCAGGTCTTCACCTGCTCCCATTTCCCCTCAGAAAACCTTATTTGTAAATTTGAAATTCTCTGAGTTTTTGAGTGGGCTATGATTTTTGTCATTTCTAATAGTTACACATGCTATTCATTCCCTTGCTTGGAATATTCTTTCCATCGTAGTCAATGTGAACTCTTAATTACACTATAAAGATAACTTAAATATCATCTCCTGCAGCAAGTTCACCTTCACTTATGTGGAAACTGGTTGACTGATTCTTTCTTTAAATTTCTGTAAATCCTCATATGTTGTCTAGAACAGTGCTAACCTTATGGTTTATCACAAATTATATATGTGTTTGTTTCCTCATTTCACTGTGGGTTAGGAGGACTACAAATATGCTATTTCATCTGTGCATTATTAGTGGTTAGTACAGAGATTGGTCAATATTAGCTGTTCAAAAGAATTAGTAAATAATTCCTCAATGAAGTGTAGTTTCAAAGCCAGTTTCTCTACTATCTTGCACTCTGATTCAATATTCATCTTTCAAACTATCATCGAAAATGCATTTTAGGAAAAATAAAACACTTAGTGGTTACACTCAAGGGCTCTGAAGCCAAATACGTGGAGTTAAAATCCTATGTAAGCCACTTATTTTGTGACCCTAATCACCTTGGCCTTATTTTCTGCACCTGTGAAATAATAATTAGCTTATGAATTTTATATGATTGCTTCAAGGATTAAACGACACAATAGGTGAACATTCAATCAACATTAGTTACCATTTCTGAACATTGTATCTCATTATAAAATCTTTCTATTTACCTACCACTTCCACACGTGCATCACATGCTCCAGCTACATTAAAGTCACTGATGTGAATAATTCTATGAGCTGGCTGGGCACAGTGGCTCATGCCTGTAATCCCAGCATTTTGGGAGGCCAATGTGAGTAGATCATAAGGTCAGGAGTTCAAGACCAGCCTGACCACCATGATGAAACCCCATCTCTACTAAAAATACAGAAATTAGCTTGGCATGGTGGTGCATGCTTGTAATCACAGCTACTCGGGAGGACGAGTCAGGAGAATTGCTTGAACCCAGGAGGTGGGTGTTGCAGTGAACTGAGATCACACTTACTGCACTCCAGCCTGAGTGACAGAGTGAGACTCTGTCTCAAAAAAAAAAAATCAATTAGCTTGTAATTATTTACTATGTTCAATGCACAATTTAATTGACTGAGCACATATTTTGAATCACGCACTGTTCTAGATATTAGAAATAGGGCAGTGAACAAACAAATTTTTTTTCCCTCACGTGGCTTATATTCTAGGGAGAGGAGGCAGGCAATAAGCAAAAATAAATACGCTAAATATGTACTATGTGTGGTAGTACACAATGAAATGGAGACATAATGTAGAGTGTGGTGGTTCAGGGAATGCTGAGGAGATGTTGTTTTAAATAGAGTTCAAGTAAAACCTCACTGAAAAGGTGATGTTTGAGAAAAAACTGAAGAAGATGAGGGAGCAAGTCATGTAGATATTTGAGGGAAAGCAGTTAAAAAAATAATTAACTTCTTTTTATTCAGAAGCAAGTCGGAATTCTTGAGGCAGAAATGTGCTTGGCATATGCAAAGAATCATGGAGAGGCCATACTGACCAAAGAAGAATAAGAAACAGGCACAATAATGGAGACTAAAGTCACAGAGGTAGCAGGTTCTAAATGACACAAAGTGTGTTTTTTTGCTTTGAGCAAACTGGAAAGGCATTGCCAGTTTTGAGTGAACAACTGATGTGATGAATTATTAAAAGGTTATTCTAGAAGCTGTGTGTAGAGTAAATTGTGGATTGATAAGGATGGTAGCAGAAATATCAAGTAGGAGTCTATTCCAGTAATCCATATGAGGGATGGTGATGATTCAGTCTAGACTTGTAATGGTAGAGATGGTGAGAAGTGGGCCAATTTGGAAAGTATCTTAAGGATCATACAGGATTTGCTGATGCATTGCATTTGGAGTATGATAAAAGGAGAGGAGTCGGGCATAATAATAATAATAACAATAATAGCTAATACATTTTCATTTAATACATACTCAACACTATCAATTTTTTAATAAGTATTAGCTAATTTAGTTTTCAGAAACAATGAAGAAATAATTTCTGGCACATATGAGTACTCAATATTTACTAACTGAGGGACAGAGAGGATAACTAGCTTATCCATGCCATGCAGCTAGTAAATAGTGGATCCAAGATTCAAACTGAGACAGTGTAGTGACAGAATCCATGATTTTAAGTACTGCATGATGGATGGATGCCTTGAAAGAATGTTAGGGCCAGGGTCTGTGTTCCAGAGAATAAAGGAGACCATTCTTTGTGTGAGCTCAGGAGCCAAGAGCAGGAGTGCTGCTAAGAGTCCCATGGAGATACCTACTACTGAAAGGTAAAGCCAGCTGGACTTCCTGGGTTGAGTGGAGACTTGGAGAACTTTTCTGTCTAGCTAGAGGATTGTAAATGTACCAGTCAGCACTCTCTGTCGAGCTAAAGGATTGTAATGCTCCAGTCACTACTCTGTGAAAACACACTAATCAGCACTCTGTGTCTAGCTAAAGGATTGTAAATGCATCAGTTAGCACTCTGTAAAAATGCACCAATCAGTGCTCTGAGTCTAGCTAAAGTATTGTAAATGCACCAATCAGTGCTCTGTAAAATGGACCAATCAGCAGGATGTTGGCAGGGTCAAATTAGGGAACAAAAGCCGGTCAGCCCAGCCAGCAGCAGCAACCCACTTGGGTCCCCTTCCACACTGTGGAAGCTTTGTTCTTTTGCTGTTTACAATAAATCTTGCTGCTGCTCACTCTTTGGGTCTATGCCACATTTAAGAGCTGTAACACTCACTGTGAAGGTCCACAGCTTCATTATTGAAGTCAGCAAGACCAAGAACCCACCAGAAAGAACCAACTCCAGACACATCTTGGTGACCAAGATGGGACCTAGACTCGGATCATGGGGACTGGTGTTGTAAACATCTGCTGACCTGTGTTCTATAAGGACTAAAAAGAATTAGGGAAAAGCCCATGAATTATTCAATGATGTCCACTATAACTCAGGGAAAGGAAGAAAATCATTTTGCCTTCCTCAAGTGGCTATGGGAGTCCTTCAGAAAGTGTACTCCTCTGTCACCCAACTCCCTCAAGGGTCAATTGATCCTAAAAGATAAGTTTATTACCCAATCAGCCACAGATATCAGGAGAAAGCTCCAAAACCAAGCCCTGGGCCCTGAAAAAATCTAGAGGCGTTATTAAGCCTGGCAACCTTGATGTTCTGTAACAGGCACCAAGAGAAACAGGCCAAACAGAAAAGCAAGATCAGAAAAAGGCCACAGTGTTTGTCATGGCCCTCAGAAAAACAAATCTCTATGGTTCAGAGAGGACAGAAAATGGAGCAGGCCAATCACCTGGTGGGGCTTGTTATCAGTGTGGTTTCCAAGGACCTTTTAAAAAAGATTGTTCAGTGAAAAATAAGATGCCTCCTCGCCCATGTCCCCTATGCCAAGACAATCATTGGAATTCTGGCACACTGCCCCAGAGGTCAAAAGTTCTCTGGGCCAGAAGCCCCCAACCATATGATCCAACAACAGGACTGAGGGTGCCCAGGGCAAGTGCCAGCCCATGTTATCACCCTCACTGAGCCCCAAGTATGTATAACCATTGAGGTCCAGGAAGTTGACTTCTTCCTGGACACTGGATTGGCTTTCTCAGTGTTGATCTCCTGTCCCGGACAACAGTCCTCAAGGTCCATTACCATCCAAGGAATCCTGGGACAGCCTGTAACCAGGTATTTCTCCCAAATTCTCAGTTGTAATTGGGAGACATTTCTACAGATAGTAAGTATGCTTATCTAATCCTACATGCCCATGCTACAATATGGAAAGGAAAGGAGTTCCTAACCTTTGGGGGAGCCCCCATTAAATATCACAAGGAAACCATGGAGTTATTGCACACAGTGCAAAAATCCAAGAAGGTGCCAAAGCCATCAAAAGGGAAGGAAAGGGGAGAACAGCAGCATAAGCAGCTGGCAGAGGCAGGGAATGACCAGCAAAGAGGAAGAGACAGAGAGACAAAGAGAGAAAGAAAGAGACAAAGTCAAATAGAAGGAGACAAGGAGAGGAAGAGACAGAGAGACAGAAAGTCAATGAGAGAAAGAAGGAGAGGAAGAGACAAAGAGGGAGTCAGAGAGAAACAGAAAGATAAAGAGAGACAAAGTCAAAGAGAGAAGGAAAGAGAGGAAGAGATAGACCAAGGAGTCAAAGAGAGAGAAAGAAAGAGATAGAAGTAGTAAAGAACACACAGTGTAACCTATTCCTTTAATTCCAAGGTAAATTTAGAAACTATAATTGATAATTGAAGGTCTTCTCTGTGACCTTATAACACTCCAATACCACCTAGATGTCAGTGTAAACAAGGAAGTAACCTAAAATCACTGAGGCCACTGACAACCCATAGCCTTTCTATCAAAAATCCTTAACCCAGCAGGTTTCCTAAAAGGGGATCTAAATTTTAACTAATTACCATACAAAGGTCTGAGCAGACCTGGGATGATCTCCCTTCAGGACAGGATGATAGATGTTTCCTCTAGGGTGATTAAGGGAAAAAGACACAATGGGTACTCAGCAAGTGATAAGAAAATTCTTGTAGAAGCAGAATTGGGAAAATTGACTAATAATTGGTCTGCTCAAAAGTGTGAGCAGTTTGCACTCAGCCAAACTTTGAAGTACTTACAGAATCAGAATGGAGCCATCTATACCAATTCTAAGTTAATATGGACTGAACGACATCTTATTAATAGCAAAGAATAAATGAAATCCCAAACTTAGAATGTTTTTAGCAAAAGTAGAGTTTGCTAAAAGTTAACAGTGTAACATGTATTATCCTAACTTCTAATCTTGTGGAAAGCAGACCCTATTAGTGCCCCTCAAAGCTCAGGTTGCAAGAAATAACAAAATCTATCCTTACTCTACAAACCCAAATAGATTTTTTGGCAGCAGTGACTCTCTAAAACCATAGAAACCTTGACGTATGCATTGCTGAGGAAGGCGGACTTTGCACCTTCTTAGGGGAAGACTGTTTCTTTTACACTAACAAGTCAGGGACAGTACCAGACACCACCCACCTTTACAGGAAAAGGCTCCTGAAATCAGACAATACGTTTCAAACTCTTACACTGACTTCTGGATTCTTACTGGGTTAATAACTTCAAAAATGTTCATCTTCTTTTCTAGCTTCATTTTCATTTAATTCACTACCTCATTGTCTCTCCCCTGAATATTTCTGGTATCATCTTTGCTAGTTTTCTTGCCTTCTACAATTAAGGCTTGGTTCACATTTGTGCAAAGTGATCCATCATTCTAAAATGCATACAACGACACAAAGGAGTATATAGAAGTAGGAGAGAGGAGCTTTAGCGAGAGCCACCAGCATGAAGGAAGTTGGATTTTTTTCCCCTATTTCCATGTGAGATTTGTTTTCTTTAGATCATTCATTATGCATTAACTTACTTTTGCTATTGCTTACAGACAGGGTACTTTATTTTGTTTAGCAACTACAATAGTGCAAAGCACAGGAATGTAGATGCTCGCCAAAATGTACCATTATGTGGGTGCTTCTCTACTTCCTATACTCATCACAGGACATTACAGTGCAAAAGAGAGATGACTTTTCACGTTCCTAGTTAAGATACCATTCATAAGCAGCAAAAAGAAAAGCCATTAATCCAACTGATTCCTAAACTCTAACAATCTGTATTCAAATTCTTTAGCATTACAAAATGAAGACTGAACTTGGAATCTTAAGCATCAAAGATGAATTCTACTTTTAACTCTTATTGCATGTATGGCCTCAGTACAAGCCACTGAACCTTTCAAACCTGTTTCCTCATCTGAAAAAATGAAGGTAGAAAGGAA
This sequence comes from Homo sapiens, assembly GCF_000001405.40. NCBI lineage: Eukaryota > Metazoa > Chordata > Mammalia > Primates > Hominidae > Homo > Homo sapiens. Next base: position 8,832,837 of record NC_000024.10, read on the forward strand.
ATTTAACTTGGGTTGGGAGCTGGGCTACACACGTATGTACACTGTCTCATCTAATTTGCAAAAAAAAAGCAAAGAACTGTTAGTGCACAGACTTGTTTCTTCACTCTTCTATCTAAAAAATCAAAAGTTTTTGTGAATTATAATAAGAGATAAGGTTGAAATATGAACTCTGCATAACTGTGGACCTTAGTTATAATTCTAAGAGACAATATCCATTTATTCCAAAGGACATCAGGGAAGCTGGCATCTAGTAACTACTTTGTTGTTGATAAGATGTGTGATTTTAGACAAGCTACGTGCTCCCACTTGGGTTCAGTTTTTACCCCCTTCTTAAAATGAGAGGATTGGGTTATTTCTACAAAACCTTCCTTTTGATATTCTATGCCAGGAATTGGCAGCTATCTTCTACAAAGGGCAAGACAGTAAAGATTTTATGCTTTGAAGGTCATAATATCTCTGTCAAAACTACTCAACTCTATCTGTACAGAAAAACAACAGCTGTAGATAATATGTAAATTAATTGACATGACTGCATTAGAGCAAAATTCTACTTACAAAACAGATTGTGGCCTGAATTTAGCCCAGAGAACTTACTTTGATGAGCCCTGATCTATGAAGCAATGAAGAATTTTGTGTGTGACCAATTCTACACTCCTCCTGTTTCTGTTTGGATCAATATAGTGAGAACTTATTTTGTTCACGGCTTGTCTAAAGATGTCTCTCTGTTGAAGTGGAGTTTACTTAAGTGCTTCAATCATTTGTTTAAGTCGGGATTAAGCTGAGCATTTTGAGAAGTAAATAGACTGGTTTTTGGCTGTAGCTTATGTAGAACAGCATTGGCTATTTTAAGCATACACGAATACTATCATGTTCTACACATGAACATGACAGAAAGGAAGAAAACCTTAATAAATAAAAGTTATATGACAGGAATTAGGATAGACTTAAGATCCTACTGTCACCTATTTATTCCAATTTTTACATATCATCACATTATCACAGTATCCCAGCCAATATATTGACATTCATAAAAATACACATTGGATTGCATTTTAAGTTATCAAACATATCACTTTTCTGAAATGCACAGAGGTCTTCAATGAGGCTTCTTAGCTACAAGGGACCGTTTTACAAAGTATGGGAAACAAGGGGGAATTAAGGATTTTCATTTCTGCCTATGGTAGATGGACAAATGGCCTGTTAAAGGTGTTTGATTATGTTAAGCAACTATCACAGGAAAGGGACCTGGGAATCATTGTCAAAGCCAGCAATTGAACAATAACATAACTCTAGGTCTGAATACTGTAAGGTTTTTGTTATATAAGGCTTGGCCAGTTCAACCATGGTAGCATTACTTTAGGACTTTCTTTTTCTTTTGCTGTTGTTTAATTCAGCTAGCTCTTTGTGCTAAAGATGAATCTGATGGCAATATTTATCACCAAAGTTTTTCATCACAGCAAGAAGCACTTCTGAAGCTGGAGGAAGCTTTGGGCACACTGACAAATTTCCCCAAAGCAAGATTGAACTATGGGCTCCTAAATCAGCAGTGTTTTGATATTTGCACATTCTCTTTATTTTCTATTCTCATTGTTTCTTTCTGTTCCACTATGCCTTCAACTTCACTTGTTCAATGACTTCAGTCATAGAACATATTGAGAGGGCATGGGCAGATGGTGAATTCACCAGGGAGTTTATGCAATTCTCTGATTTATTTCATCATTCTAGAATTATACAGAAATAAGACTAGTATGAGCTTAAGCATATTCTGCCTTGAAGAATGAAAAAAAATGACACCAAAAATGATTAAAACATAAATTTAAATAGAGTTCTATTTGCCCTATACAATATTTCCAGTTAGATTTTAGCTGAATTCTGTCAGTTCCTCACCCCTGATAGCTGCAATTTTCAGTTCTGGATAGCATTTTTATCAGTGTTTTTTTTTTTTTTTTTTTTTCCAATAATGACATTTTTCTCACAATTTTTTTATCTGATCACCCTTTCATGAATTTTGTAAATAAATATGTATTTATTGTTTGAGTTTCAACATTATTGTGCTTACTTTTGACATGATCCATTTTTGTTATTTTGCAAACACAGAATTTAACATAGGATACAAACATATTATGCATATTACACACCACATACACACACACACACACACACACATATCCATATGCAATCTTGTGCTGCATAGTCTGTCAATTCCACTGATCCTCAGTGGATGCAATTTTGTTCCATGTCACATATTTGGCAATGTTTGGGACATTTTTGGCTGTCACAACCTGGGGTGAGAGGAGACAGGGAGAGATTCTACTTGCATCTAATGGGTACATGTCAGGGATTTTGCCAATGGTCTTGCTATGCACAGTCCAGACCCTCATCCCCAACAAGGAAAAAGAATTATCCAGCCCACGGTACCTATAGTGCACAGGTTTAAAAAATTCTGGTCTGGCCTAAAAGCATGTAAAAATGTACAGATAATTCAAGCAATTCTGTATCATATCACTGATCATTAGCATGCCATAAGTCCTTACAGTATATATGAGAAAGTTTTACAGAAAAATGCTAGAAATTTTTTTTTTCTGATGGTATACAATCTACTCTTATTAAGAAAATTGCAAAGTAGAGAGTCTTACAATGCACCCAAAGTAATATATTTTTTCTTGAGAAATGACAAGGAGGATTTGATTAAGAATATATATTTATATTTGTAGTTATTGTTATAATTATATCTGCCCCGAATATTTTTATTCTATTACTTGCTATCCATCATTCTATTCAATTTTTTTTTTTTTTTTTTGCTACCTGTACTTGAGTAATAGAGAAGCTGCCATGTTTTATCAATATAAGCTTTGAACCTGGAAATTTGCACTGGGAGTGTGAATCTACTCTTTCTTTCCCTATGGCTACTAAACTATTATATGCAATGTACCAGGTATTTCTAAGGCTTTCGATTACATGAATTGAAGAAGTGCTGAAGCTCTCGAGGGAAACAGAGATAAGCAAAAAGAGGAGGAAGCTGTGTAATAAGCTTTTCTGTGCATTATGAATGTATTTTCCACTCTGGCAATTTTTCAAAGTGGGAAATAAAAAATAAAGTTGCTCTTTGCATATTGGCAATGATAGACTGCTGTTTCTTTCTTTTTTTTCTCCTTTTTTTTTTTTTGAGACAGTTTCTCTCTTATTGGCCAGGCTGCAGGGCAATGGTGCGATCTTGCCTCACCGCAACTTCCGCCTCCCGGGTTCTATCAATTCTCCTACCTCAGCCTCCTGGGTAGCTAGGATTACAGGCAGGCACCACTACGCCCGGCTAATTTTTGTATTTTTTAGTAGAGACTGGGTTTCACCATGTTGGTCAGGCTGGTCTCCATCTCCTGACCTCAATTGATCCACCTGCCTCAGCCTCCCAAAGTGCTGGGATGACAGGCTTGTGGCACCGCACCCCGCCGACTGTTGTTTCTTTGAATGAGAAACACTGGAAATAGATTTTAATGAGAGAACATGAAGATCAAGATTATTTTAGTCATATATTCATATATGTGCACACACACTTACACCTTTACACATATAAATCCATAATGTATATGTTATCTGCTGCTTCGCTACTTTCACTCATGAATGTCTTGTAAACTCCTTTTTATTTCCACTTACATCACTATTTTCATAACTGCTGAACGGTTCCTGGCTTGATGGCTCTTTACTAAGCTATGTTTTCTTGTTTGGAATTTAGGTGCTTTGTTACCAGAAGCTCCCTGATAAAACAATGCTGCAGTGATCATGCTTGTGCATACTCTTTATGAATTTTTTGCTATCATCTCCAGAAATATTTCTAGAAGATCTGTTTGGCCAAATGACATTTAATTTAAACAATTTTGAAGCACAATGCTAATTTCCCTTCTGGAAAGGCTGGGACAAGTTGCATTCCCACCAGTACACAGATACGGCCACATCATACACCTTTCCTGACAGTGGGAGACTACATGTTCTTCCATCTTTTTAGTATTTTCCTAATTACCACTATGAAGGGTAAGAAAATTTCATTTTCATATAAATTTTTCATAAGCAGTAAAGATGAACATCTTTTCATTTTTACTAACCATTTTCAATTATTATTTTGGCTTATTCAATTTCTATTTTGGCATTTTCAGTTGTTATTGGCTTTTCATGTTTGTTGCTCAGTTTTAAAATAATGTTACTTATCTTTCTAGTTTTGATTTATCAAGCTCTTTGAATACTAAGAAAATTAAACTGTCAAATGTATTACAAATGTTTTTTCCCAGGTTGCCTTTTAATTCTCATCATGGTATTTTTAGCTAAAAAGAAGCTTTACATTTTTTATGTCATCATATTTATCATTTTTTATAAGTTCTTGGTATTCTAGTGCGGTTTAGTATGTATAAATATGCTCACATTCCATGACATCCCTGACAGCAGATTTCCTTATGTTCTTTCCTTTTTGCTAATGTTTTCCTTTGTTACCAATTTGAAAGGTCAGAATATGACATTTTAATCTCTTTATAGACACAAGAAGGACTGACATCTTTAAGTCATTGCCTTTTCTATGTTTCTCTACTTTTTTCAGGACTTTTTCTTTAAACTCTGCCAGTAAAGTTTTATATGGTAGCTTTCTTCATTTAGTACTCATGCATTGCTTATTTAATGTATTAATTGTTATTTTCTTTTCATTTTACTTTTGACTGACTGTGTGAATGGGCCTTTTCATCTCATTTTAGCTTTTTGTTTGTATGAAAGGAAGATATTAGACATTATATATTAATTCTGCAGCCACTTTCATATCAAATACGTAAATTTGTCCTACTCTTTTTTTTTTTTTTTTGAGATGGAGTCTCACTCGGTTGCTCAGGCTGGATTGCAGTGGTGTCACCTCAGCTCACTGCAACCTCAGCCTCCCAGGTTCAAGTGATCCTTGTGCCTCAGCCTCCCAAGTAGCTGGGATTACAGTCACATACCACCATGCTCAATAACTTTTGTATTTTTAGTAGAGACAGAGTTTCACCATGTTAGCCAGGCAGGTCTCAAACTCCTGACCTCAGGTGATCCACCCCACAAAGTGCTGGGATTACAGGCATGAGCCACTGAGCTCAGACTTTTTCTTTTCTTTTCTAAATGTATTATGTAGCAATTGTTAGAAAATAATTTTTGTATGTATTCAAGTTATAAAACATGATGTTATAAGATACATATAGAAGAGCAGAAAATCTATCAATTTGAAAATATTTTTAAATAACTGTCAAAACCTGCATCCTAATTTTGTGCACATATAAATTTTAAATTTTTCAATTACTTTTACAATTAAACATATGGCTTTTAATTTGAATCACATATTACACATTTTCAGAAAGCACTCATATTTAAATGAAGGTATAAGTTTATAAATTGCCTCATTGACATCTACCAGAATGACCATATTTCTCTCCTCCTTTGGCTTGTTAACATGGTAAAGTATATTTATGCAATTCTTCACAGGATTCCCGATTTTGAATGTTTTTCATTCTCAGAATGTCTCCCACTTCATCATTATGTATTATTTTATTGGTATACTGTTGGATTACGTTTACAAATATTTTCAAATACCTGATTTCAGACTTTTGCATTGACATATTTTTCTGTAGATTTATTTGCATTTATTATTGTCATTAGGTTGATTTGGGTGTTAGTATTATATTTTCTTAATGAAACAATTAGAAATGTTTTGTTGTCGTCCACACTCTGAAACAGTTTAAAATGTGTGGAAATTATATTGGTTAAAGGAGTGACATTTCTAGCCATAGAAAGGCAGAGAGAGAGAGAGAGAGAGAGAGAGAGAGAAATATTCAAAATCTGGATTTCCTTACTCTTCTACCTTCTCTTTGTTTTTACATTTATAAAATCATTATAATAATTGATACGATTTGGCTGTGTCCCCACCCAAATCTCCTCTTGAATTGTAGCCTCCATAATTCCCATGTGTTTCAGGAGGGACCTAGTGGCAGATAATTGAACCACAGGGGCTATTTCTCCCATACTGTTCTTGTGGTAGTCAATAAGTCTCATGAAATCTGATGATTTTATAAGGGGAAACCCTTTTCTCTTGGTTCTCATATTCTCTCTTGTCTGACACGATGTAAAATGTGCCTTTTGCCTTCTGCCATACTGTGAGACCTCCCCAGCCATGACTTAAGGGCTCTTAAGCCCAATTGAGTTAGTGCTCTTTTTGGGCAATGAAAATTTTCTGCAACTGGATTCTTAGGATGATTGCACAACTGCATAAATTAACTAAATATCATTAAATTGCACAATTTATAACTCATAACCTTTATGGTGTGTTAATTATACCTCAATAAAGCTGTTAAAGTGAAGAAAAGATAGAAAACAGTTTATGCAAATAATGGTAAGAAATGATAGATTTGGTGATTTCAGGTGAGAGAATGTGGAATGAAAACATTTTATCATAATACCCAAGGCTCTGCATTGAGTACCAGGGATTACAGTCTTGAAATTCACTGTACTGATGGACACAGGAGGAGAAATGAGATCCACAGGAGAAGATAAATTCATGTTTAACAGTTGAGTTGGAAGTGCTAGTGAGATTTTCAAGTGGATGTCTGTGAGGCAGTTCAGTATAAGAGTTGGAGATTAAGAGACTGGTCCAAACGGTAATTTGGATTTGGAAGTTCTCTTCATTAGTATTAGTGTTTTTCACCCTTTCCAAATAAGTAACTCTTGCAATCTTTCTTAATCTGCTTTATTTCTCTAATATCTCATATTTTTACCCTTTATATTCAATACTCTATATAAGAAATAATTGCTACTGGTAATATGTGTTTTCAAACTACATATTCTCCCCCATCATGCACTTCTAGATACTTTGATAATTCCTCTAGGGGTTTTTATTGAAACATTTCATCTATGGTAACTGAATCCATTGGAGTGGTGGAATTTGCTCACAGCACAATGAGAAGGGACCATAGATCAAAAGGCTGAGAAATATAGAAATATTGCTAATGAACTTATGGGAATAGCTTCAGAGGACCAGAAGGAACCAAATTCCAGTTACAGTGGGAAGTTGGCTGTGAAGCAATTTTCAGGTAAGACAGAGAAAAGATATAGGGCAGTAGCTGGTGGGAATGGAGAGATGCAAAGGTTAAGATTAAAAATATGTTAGTGTATTTATATGTAGATGTGACAGATAAATGATATAACTGGAGATTAACAAAGCATGAATATTTAAAAAGTTAATTCCCTTAAAAGATGAAAGATGAAAGGAATTTGGTGCTGATACTTAACAGACAGTTTATTCTATTATAACCTAAAGAAAGGATGAAAGAATAGCTGCTCATACACAGATATTCATAGTTGTTCCTCTGTGTTCATCCCCAATCTCATCATTTTCTATTTGAAATTTTGGGGATATTGGCTCCATTACATTGTAATTATTTATAACATATTAGATTGTAATTATATATAAACTATTTTGCTCATTTTTCAAGGGTATGTATGTGTGTGTGTGTGTGTGTGTGTGTGTGTGTACATATATTCTATAATCACCAAATAATGCTTTATGGATCAGTACATTGTTTTCTACACAGTAACCCTTGACTTGTAGCTCTAGAAGAGTTGCTTCAAGACTCTGTTTAGGAAGCTGGCCCAGAAAAGACGTGGTGATACATTTAGTCCTGTGGCTGTTCCTCTAGCCCTCCCTTCCCTGTAGAGAGCTGAGGTCAAGGAATACAAAACAAGAAGGGTGTGCTATTTCTCATGATTTGCTTTTGCTTCCTGTCCCCAGCATTCTAAGCTGAGACCTATCAATGGAAATCTTAATAACTTAGTAACTGGCTCACATCGGCCAGGAAGCTTAGTTCTGTTTTCAGATGATGGGTCATATTTCTGTTTCTTGGTATTCATATTGCCAGTGGTGCTAAAATGAGACACCAACTGCAGGTTCCTTCCAACTGCAAGAGAAATATAGTTCAGAGCATGGACTATGGCCGACAGGATTAGTATCTTCATATTTGTTCCTTAAGATGAATTTTCCAAAATTCATTGACTTCTCACATTACATTTAGATTTTTATTGGCAATTTTTGAGGTCGTTAATCACTAGTTCATTTTGCTAATCCCACACCATTGAGCACCAGTCAGTTGCACAGCATTGATTCAAGTGTTGTGAGGCAGCAAAGGTTAACTAGATGAAGTTTATCCCTGACAGGAGATAAAGGTTTCACTGATAAATAAGTGCATATTTCAAAAATAAAATAGAGGACTGCATACATTTTCTTAGTGTAGTCTAAGGGAGGCCTCATGATGTAGGGAAAAGAACATTAATTTCACAGTAATATGGACCCAAGTGTGTCACTTAAATATTTTTTGACCTGGGACAATTTATTGAACTTCAAGTCCCAATTTTTTCAACTGTAAAGTGGAAATGATGAAAATTCCTACCTAAGTGGTTCACGTGTGTGCGTATGTGCATGCAGTGAGCAAATAAAATAATATGCAAAGCACTGTGGAATATAGTAGGACTTCAGTATATTTTTACTTAGTCTCTTGTCCCTGCCAAACCATCCCAACATCTTAAGTAGTTAATTCCTCAGAAGTCAGAGGAACATAAAATATTTGGTGATATTGTACTTCTTTGATGAATTATCCAACTTTAAAAAGTACATGACAATACATATAGTTCTCTCAAAATTCAAAATAATGTCCTTACTAAAACAATTTAGAGTGGTGACTTACAATGTCCTTCCATACTGCTTCAGAGATTTGGCTTATATTATCAAGAATAGCATTTTATTTAAAAAGCTCATCCTCAGCTATTACTGATTTAGGAGTAGCAGATATATGGAAACTTTAACACTCTATTGAATGGGATTATACATTTTTCTCTAGCCCACATAACTCATATTTCCAGGATCTTTCTAAATTCTTCAACTTCTGATTAATGATGTGGATAGCATGGCTCCAGGTAGTGTTCCCCTATCTGACCATGCCACAGACTCACTTTCAATTGCCCTTCAGAAAGCATTAGGCAGCATTTTGGCAAAACTTCCTTTAGTAAGGAATACTGGATAGGAAGATTGTAATTTATAATTCTAAAACTACATAAAAAGTTCACACACACATATCCAAGGACTCTGGATTGCTGACATATATATATATCTCACTTTAGATATGAGCTATAATCAGTCATTATATAGTACTGCTATAAGGATGACTGAGATATATGCAAATTATCTATTGTAAACACTGACACATAGCAGAACAAATATTTGCTGAAATGAATTTTTCCATTTAATCATGTGAGGATGTTGCAATTCAATTTAAGTAACTTTCTCAAGGTCATACAGATTTTAATAACAGTTGTATATATGTGTGTGTGTGTGTGTGTGTGTGTGAGCAATCCAGAGTTCTCTTATATTTTATATATAAAATGACCTTATGTAATTGTGTGTTGGGGGTGTGTGTGTTTGTGTATAAATTAAACTTATATAGGCTCTCTTTCAGTTATTAATTGACATCAATTTTTTTCTGGAGCACAGTATTATTAATTACAAAAATAACTGGCAAATTTCTCATTAAGGATAAATGTGAACTGAGAAGACTAGATAAATCATTGTCTGCCTCATTCAGATTGAAGGAAACATCTAGACTCTGGAGGGAGCCATGAAAAACATGTATATTATATAGTTTTATGTTTTAGTAGCTTCACCTCGTTCTATTAAGCCTCTAACTCAACTGTAATCATAAAAGGTTAATATTGAGATAAAACCTAAAGACATAAATTAGGCTTTGCCATTACTTGCCCCCAAAGGAGACTTAAGCTATGTAATACTTGATCAGCAGGACTCTTCTTTATTATTAAAGAAATGAAGATACGCTGCATTGAATGATATTATTGGAAATGCCTAAATTTTCTCATCATCTTACAACTGCTTAAAATTGCTGTTGCAGATTTCTGTAGGCAAAATCTTAGGTCCCAGAGTACCCCTGCAGAATGTTATGGAGTATTAATAGGTAATGTGTTTCAGTTAAGCACAAAAATATACTTAAATAGCCATATTGAGTATTTTCAGGATGAAATGAGATATTTTATTTTTATTCTACTATAAAGAAGGGTCAATCTGAAATGGTGTGCTGGAATTACAGGCTAAAAATCAAAACTGAGGCATCATCAAAAATATTTCTCATTTATGAACATTTCATGATATTAAAACACCAATTATCTATCATATCTTGCTCCTTGTGTAGCTTCAGTTTTCAGTATTAGATATTACCACTTCACATTTGCTATTCATCAATTTTAAAAGCAACACTTTTCTAATAAAAATTGTTGCATTATCCTTGGCAAAGGCATGGCACTGTTGGATTGCCACATATATCATCAACTTATTCTAAGAAGAAATCCCCAGGTTTTAACTAATGAATATGCAGCTCTCTCAGAGGTAAAATAATTTCACACAAATCTTTCTTAGAATTTTGTTTTCTAAAAAAATGTTAAATTTAATTTAAAGATTTCAAAAGTTTTTTTCTTCAACATTTGTGCTAAAATAGTATGTTCCTAAGACTTTAAAAATATATAAACCTTAACTGTTTTAATTTGTGGCACAAAGATGTAATGGTACATAGCATAGGTTTCTAGAGCAGTGACATTTATTTAATCTTAAACATTTTTCTTTTAAAGCTTCCTTTTAATATTCAACTAACAATCTCAATTATAAGACTATGATTTTAATTTGATCATCATATATAACTCTACAAACAATTACCAGTGGTTATGATTATTCAGATTTTTCATCAAAACACAGGGGGAAAGAATAGACAACAATGTAATTACTGAAATGTTATGCTTTGTCAAAAAAATTACATCAAATTTAAAGTAATAGTATGTTTGGTGAGTACTTTCTAATTTATAAAGCACTTTCACATTTTTGCCCATTTGGTCCTCTTAATGTGAGGAAACAGGGAGGGCCTCAATAATTTTCTGATACTCAAAAACAACAAAGCTGAAGGCATAACTCTATGGGTATACTTCAAGGAATACTACAAGGATATAGTAACCAAAACAACATGGTACTGGTCGAAAAACAGACACATTAGATCAATAGAACAGAATAGAGAACTCAGAAATAAGACCACACACCTGCAACCATCTGATATTTGATGAACCTGACAAAAACAAGCAATGGGGAAAGGATTTAATAAATGGTGCTGGGAGAACTGGGCAGCCATATGCAGAATTGAAAAAGGACTTCTTCCTTATACCTTAGGCAAAAATTAAGATGGATTGAAGGTTTAAATATAAAACTCAAAACTATAACAACCCTACAAGAATATCTAGGTAATACTATTCAGGACATAGGCATGGGCAAAGATTTCATGATGAAAAAGCCAAAAGCAATTGCAACAGAAGCAAAAATTGACACATGGGATCTAATTAAACTAAAAAGCTTCTGCAAAGCAAAAGAAACTATCATCAGAGTAAAACAGAAAGCCTACAGAATGAGAGAAAACTTTTGCACCCTATCCATCTGACAAAGGTCTAATATCCAGAGACTACAAGAAAGTTAAACAAATTTAGGAGAAAAAACAAACAACTTCATTAAAAGTGTACAAAGGACATGAACAGACACTTCTTACAAGAAGAAATTCATGTGACCAACAAACATATTTAAAAAAAAAAACCAGGATCGCTGATCATTAGAGAAATGCAAATCAAAACCACAGTGAGATGTCATCTCATGCCAGTTAGAATGACAATAATTAAAAGGTCAAGAAACAACAGATGCTGGAGAGGTTGTGCAGATAAAAGAATGCTTTCACACTGTTGGTGGGAATCTAAATTAGCTCAACCATTGTGGAAGACAGTGTGGTGATTCCTCAAAGATCTCGAAGCAGGAATACAATTTGACACGGCAATCCCATTATTGGGTATATACCCAAAGAAATATAAATCATTCTATTGTAAAGATGTATGCATGCTTATATTCACTGTAGTACTATTCACAGTAGCAAAGATGTGGAATCAACCCAAATGCCCATCAATGATAGACTGGATAAAGAAACTGTGGTACCTATACACCATGGGATACTATGAAGCCATAAAAAGGAACAAGATCATGTCCTCTGCAGGGACATGGATGGAGCTGGAATCTGTTATCTTCATCAAACTAATGCAGGAACAGAAATCCAAACACCACATGTTCTCACCTATAAGAGGGAGCTGAATAATGAGAACATGTGGGCACACAGGGGAGACAACACACACTGGGGTCCAGAGGGTGAGGGGAGGGAGAATATCAGGAAGAATAGTTAATGGATGCTGGACTTAATACCTAGGTGATGGGTTGACCTGTGCAGCAAACCTCCACGGCACATCTTTGCCTATGTAATAAACCTGCACATCCTGCACATGTACCCCAGAACTTAAAAGTTGAAGAAAACATTTGTTTTTTCTGCTATTAAATTAGGATAATCCCTCTTATCAGACAGTACTGCTATAAAGATGACTGAGATGTCTGCAAATCATCTACTGTAAACACTGACACATCATGGGTGCTCAGCAAATATTTGCTGAAATGAATTTTTCCATTTAATCATGTGAGGATATTGCAATTCAATTTAAGTAACTTTCTCAAGGTCATACAGATTTTAATAACAGTTGTATTGTTAGAAGTCAAGTCTTCATGATTCAGCTGAATTACTGCTAAATATGAAGACTAAAATGTCACTATCAGTTCACTTTTATGCTATTGTATTAATCAATGTGATTTAGACATTAAATTTATTTTAGTTAATGTTAGTAATATATCTCAAAGAACAAATGAATTAAAGTATGTTTCAAAATTGTTATAACTTAAACATGAAACACATTCAAATCACAAATTTGACTTATATCACTTAGCCTTGTAGTATGAAGATAGTAGAATGAATAAATTGTTAACAACAACAATTTATTTATCACTTATTTTGGCCCAGAAACCTAAATGGTTTACAGGGGTCATCTAAATTAATCCTTTCAACATCTTAATAAGGCTATTCTCATTATCATTTTGTGATCTAGACAAATAAAGTTCAGTGACAGGTTAAGTGACTTTGTAAAGGTAAATGAAGTAGGAAGTAGGGAAAGAAGGAATTTTAACCCAAGCACACTGACTCTAGTCTAGAGTTCATAATCTGAATCCCCATAATCCGTAGCTTCTGTGGAGGGTATGTAGGTAAGAATGGCTCCATTGAAGTGCAGAGAAATCCACAGTTCAAAGCAAGAGGATCAAAACTTGACTGTTAGGACAATATGGAAAAGAGGAATTAGAATGTTTGGAAGAACAAGGGAAATGTAAACGGACAGCAGAATAGGCATGCAATTTTGCACAGCAGTCTTGCATGAGAGTGTAAAAGCTGAGGGCTATGTGAAGATTGTACTTCTGCATCTGTCACAAGGCTGAGGTGTGTAGAGAGGTTGATAGTTCTATGAAAGGACATTCCAGAATGTTCTGGCATGTTCTACAATAAAGACATCAGCTGACAGGTTAGGGAAAGTGTGCAGCTGTAACCCAGTGGGCCAAGGAAGGGAGCTGAGGTTGTATATCAGTGTGTAGTCATGGTGCAGGGAGAGCTACAATGGTGCAAAAATAAAGGAGTGAAGCCTTTTCAGCTCATTTGTCTACATTAATTAGATTTCTGAAGCCAGATCAGTAGGACTCTGAAGACATGAGGGAGCAAGGAAGAATTCATTAAGTGAGAATTGACAGGAATGAGAAGCCTACTAGAGTATAGTGGTAAACAAACCGAGTGTGTGTTGATCTGAATGTGTGGTCAATACTATATACACACACATTAAGCTACACTTCCAAATCTAGTTTGTCTTCAGGAGTATTTTTAAAATTTTATTATATCAGGATTCAAGTTGAAATTATCTAATATTATGTGTGAATTCTTCCATGAAATTTAGTTTTATTTGGTAACACTTGTAGATAGCTCATATATAGCTGGATGACTATAATGTTTTGTTCCAAACATATGGTATCATAATGTGCTTGAGCTTTCATAATAAAATGTGATAGAATTGGTGGCATAAACAACAGAATTTTATGTCTCATAATTATGGAAGCTGGGAAGTCCAAGGTCAAAGCACCAGCAAATGGCTGGGTGTGGTGGCTCACACTTGTGATCCCAGCAATTTGGGAGGCTGAGGCAGGTGGTTCGCCTGAGGTCAGGAGATTGAGATCAGCTTGGCCAGCATGGTGAAACCCCATCTCCACTAAAAATCCAAAAAAATTAGCTGGGTGTGGTGGCACAGGCCTGTAATCCCAGATACTCAGGAGGCTGAGTCAGGAGAATCACTTGAACCCAGGAGGTGGGGGTTGCAGTGAAGCGAAATTGCACCATTGCACTCCATCCTGCGCAACAAAGCGATACTCCATCCGCAAAAGGAAAAAAAAAAAAAAGGTAACAGCAAATTAGGCCTCCTTCTGAAGCTTTTTCTCTTGGCTTATAGGCAGTTAACCGTCTCACAGTTTGCTCCCACTGCCTCTCTGGTGTTTCTTCTTATAAGGCCCATCATGAGGGCCCTACCCTTTTGTCATTTAACCCTGATGACTTCCAAAATGCTCTGTCTCCAAATGCTATCACGTTGGGGGTTAAGGATTCAACATACGCACGTTGGAGGGACACAAACATCCAGTCCTTAACATATGGGAACTATGTATACATATGGTGGAATTTATGCTAAATGCTGTGAAAAAGTTTCAAATATTTTCAAATAATTGTCAGATAAGATATTACTTGTTATGTTTTATTCAAACTTTCTATCTTCCTATAACTATGACCAAAAATGTATTCTCTAGATCTTGGTAATTTGTCTATGCTGTGCCATTATTTTTTCCTCTACTCAGAAATTTTGACCCATCAGCCAGACTTGTGTCTATCAAAAATAGGTGCAATGGTAGCAAGAGATTTAAACTGAGAGACAGTGATATAGAGTACAGTGTTAAATTTGACATTAATTTGCTATGTAACCTCCACTTGCTCTGTCTTAGCCTTCCTTTACTCATTAGAAAAAAAAATGTATGGTTGAAATGATTTATGGTTATTTTAATGAATCATTTGAATGACCAAATGACTGGGTTTTCTTGAGACTATTTTGGTTTTAGCCCCAAAAGTCCCACCTACCCGAAAACCTCTACCCTGTGATGTGAAAAAAACCCAGTTTCCCTTTATCATTAGAGAGGGATGGGGAGGAAATGGGCCACCCCTATAATAGGAGCTGAAAGTAATACTATTTTCAGTATTAAATGGGTAAGTATCAGATTATTTGTCGTCTGTGTTTCTCTTGTTCCCCCTCCACCCCTCCTTATTGCTAATGTTGCAACCCTGATCTGTGATAAACAGTAATAGGTCATCCACTATTGCCTCACTTTAAGATAATGCAGACAAAAGTGTCTGCAACTTATGTGTATTGTGTTAACAGTTCAGTTGTTAATTTGCCTGTTGTGCTTTGTATCAAGATATTATTAATTTAACTTTCTAACATTGTGAGTCATGCTACCATGTTATGTAAAGTTCAGATAATGACAAAGATGATTGCAATATCAATGCAGAACTGGCTATCACTGAAAAAGAAGGCTGTGTGATTTTAATATTGACAGAAGGACTCAGATAGGAAATAAATGAAGTAAACAACCCAAACAGAGAATACTGTGCAATATGCAGAAAATAATTTGAGATTAAGCATAATGCAGAAAGAGATGTGAAACACATATGTAGAATGAATTTCATAAGTCTTGGGTGAGACAGGTGAGAAATGTTTTTGGCTCCCCAAAAGACACCAATGGTTAGTTGAAAACACTTGCCACTGAATTAACCTGGGCATACCACATAAAAGTACATTCATGATCATAACATTCCTTTGATTGCTCTATAAATCTGAATAAACTTACATTTCAGATTTTCTTCAGAGGTTTCAACTAAATGCACTTTATAGGTAAAAAAAGGGATTTGATAATGGATGTGTTTGTTTATTACAGTGTAAAGCTGACTCTGTCCATTTTTTTTTTACCAAATATCATGCTTTCTACAGTATATTACTTGATACTTTATATCATAGCAACAAGTCTTCTCTATCTTTTAGGTGTTTTGATTTGAAATAGAGAATTTCAAAAATCATCCTATATGAAGATTTTAATAATGATATAGGAAACATAAAACAAAAGATATAAATTAGATTTTACTCATTTATCTGCATATTCAGCAGACAGTACAAAGCTAAATTTTGGCAAATTTATTTCAATGTATACACTTCTTACCAAAGAACATTAAAAGATCTTATCTAGCGAATATTCTGTAGGCCTTAGCCACAGTACTTCTGAAAAAGTGTGCAACTTGTGTCATTAAGGCTTTTGTAATGGAATGTTTTTGTTTCCCAAAACGTGCAGCAGTATTTGATGCATTGGTTTTTTTACTTTACAGAAACAGAATTCATCTGTAGACCTTTGCTTGCAAGATAACTCCCATCATTGTTGCTGCCTGTAAAAAAAGATTAAAATTTTGTCCTGCCATAAAATCACATTTTCAAAGTGTGGCATAAAAAAAACTGCTGTTCTCTCATTTGAAAATACATTGATGATGAAAATGGAGGAAAATGACAATAAAACATCCTGTATATGTTGTTTCTTTAAAACTCTTTGAGGATTTTTGATGGTGTCATAACTTACCTAGAAAAGGATGAACTGAATGACCCTGAGTTCTTCAATGTTATGTGTAGTTTCAATAAACACTCACAACCTAAAAGGGACTCACTTTTCAAAAATAACCCTGCTTCCAAACTCTAAATAGTGTTACCACAATGGGGTTGTTAAATGGAACCTCCTCAATTTAGTTCAAAAAACTGTACATTATTTGATAATAAAAATATCTCATGTATTCTACAAATAAATAAACCTATTATGTCACCACAAAAATAAAAAAAGAAACAACTTCAATTTTTACAAACTGTAATTACTTTTGTGCATTGTAACTGTTTCAAATTATCCTCTTCTCTATAATGTTTAAAAATTGCAGGCCTTTTAATACATGGATACCATATCTGATAAATTTGTGGCTGCAATAGTTCAGTTTGAGCAACAGCTGGTCTACCAAAATAAGCCTGTAGTTACAAAGTGGATGGGTATGTTTGGAGACCTAGAAATTAATTCTTGCAAGTCTGAAAACCTGCTCTCACCAGTAAGTAAAATCTTAAGTATCCCCTGCTTAAACGGTTTTTTTGTTTGTTTGTTTGTTTTTGTGCTTTTTGGTGGGGGAGGGGTCTCACTTTTTGCACTGGCTGGAGCACAGTGGCACAATCTCAGCTCACTGCAACCTCTGCCTCCTGGGTTGAAGTGATTATCCTGCCTCAGCCTCCCAAGTAGCTGGGACTACAGGCCTGTGCCACCACACGCAGCAAATTTTTTGTATTTCCAGCAGAGATGAGATTTCACTGTGTTGTCCAGGATTGTTGTCCAGGATTGTTGTCCAGGACGGTCTTGATCTCCTGACCTCATGATCTGCCTGTCTTTGACTCCCAAAGTGCTGGGATTACAGGCACGAGCCACCATGCCCAGCCCTTAAACAGTATTTTAGAGGATAGTTAGCATGATGCCATCACACTGGACCCATATCAGTAATCATTTTAATGTGATCTTGATAAGAGCAGAGTTGCAAGTCAAAATAAATTATATATTTGGCTGTATTCAGTTTTATTTTTGTATGAAAGAAAAGAAGGATGTCCTAAAGCATGTAGGCAGTTCAGACATTATGTAGAAATGGAAATGGAAACAGTTAATAGTAGAAACATCATGCAGCAGGAAAAAAAGTCATTATTTTTGTCAAATACAAGTAACCTTTTAAACATGTCATATTCTTTTTAAAAATCATGTCATGTTCTCTTTTTTAAAAGTCTTTTTTAAACTCAAGTGTCTTCAACTAAGCATTGATGTCTTTTGGGGAGAGGGAGAGTTCTCTTTTTTAAGAGTCAAATGTCTCAATATGTAAGATGTTAAAGGTAAGCAAGGTGATAGGTATGTTAATTAGCTTGACATAATCCTTTCATATGTACACATACATCAAAATATCACATTGTGCCCTATAAATATATATAATTAGTATTTATTAAAATATTCAAAATAAATACAAAAGCTACTTGAGAAAACAAAAAGAACATATGACAATATGGCCTACAATATTTAAATATTCAATCGTTTTTAAAAAGAGTTAAATTGCTATATCAGAAGACAATGATGTATTATAAATTATATTTTTCTCACAACCATAAATTTATATGAATTACTGCTAATTGTGACTTTTAACTAGTTTGATTTTAAGTATAAATTATAGAATTTATGCAACCAAAGTAAATACAGATAATATATAATTCCAAAAACCTATTCATTTTTCATAGTTTTACTTAAAATAATAACAAATATGGGTATAACTATTTATTATAGTTTATATTATTATAGATCTTTGTCTGGTATTATCGTGTCCCAGTTTTGTTCTCTGATAAGTTAGTCACTCACTCCATGTGCCACTCAGCTCTAATGTTCTGTCTCCATGATTGCAGATGGCATCCTTTGCAGTATAAACAAGACAAGTAGCAAAATTCCTGGAGTTCACAAGAATTAATGAAGCATTTCGGTAAGAAAACAGTCTAACCTACTTTTCACAGATGATTTTGAGACTGGCCAGAATGAGTGCAAAAGAAAACATACGGTAACATTATATTCCTAAGAATTCTCAATACTTTGACATGATTACTTCATTTCTGATACACATACTCTCACTTTGTCAATGAAAAATCCCAGTGATTTCAGTTCTTAAAGTAAGGGACTTTAGGGGTATGTATGGAATGAAGTAGGGCAAGATGAACAAGGTGTCACACCATTTGGAAGTGTAGTTATTCCTCACACACATGATGTGGAGAAAGATTCCTTTTGGCCAATTGCATAGTTAGGAAGTAAGAGAGGTTTTTGTTTTGTTTTGTTTTGTTTTGTTTTGTTTTGTTGTTGTTTTTGTTTTTTTAACACAGAGCCTCACCCTGTTGTCCAGGCTGGCGTGCATTGGCGTGATCTCAGCTCACTGCAACCTCTGCCTCCCAGGTTCAACCAATTCTCCTGCCTCAGCCTCTGGAGTAGCTGATGTATCCAGAGTTGGTTCCCTCCAGTGGGTTCTTGGTCTCGCTGACTTCAAGAATGAAGCCAAGGAACTTCGTCGTGAGTGTTACAGCTCTTAAAGATGGTGCGACCAGAGTTTGTTCCTTCAGATGTGTCTGGAGTTTGTTCCTTCCAGGGGATTCGTGGTCTTGCTGACTTCAAGAATGAAGCAGCAGACCTTTGTGGCAAGTGTTATGGCTCTTAAACGTAGTGTGGACCCAAAGAGTCAGTGCAGCAAGATTTATTGTGAAGAGTGAAAGAACAAGGCTTACAGCATGGAAGGGGACCCTAGTGGGTTGCCACTGCTGGCTCTTGTGGCCAGCTTTTATTCACTTATTTGGCCCTACCCATGTCCTGCTGATTAGTCCATGTTACAGAGCACAGATTGGTAAGTCTTACAGAGTGCTGATTGGCTGATTTTACATAATGCTGACTAGTGCATTTACAATCCTTTAGCTAGACACAGAGTGCTGATTAGTGTATTTACAACTCTTTAGCTAGACACAGATCGCTGATTGGTGCATTTTTACAAAGTGCCAATTGGTGCATTTACAATCCTCTAGCTAGAGAGAAGAGTTCTCCAAGTGCCCACTTGACACAGGAGGTCCCCTGGCTTCACCTCTCACTGGGATCAGAGGCGCCTGCCACCACGTCTGGCTAATTTTTGTATTCTTAGTAGAGACAGGATTTCACCATGTTGTCCAGGCTCATCTCAAACTCCTGACTTGATGATCTGCCCGCCTTGGCCTCCCAAAGTAGGGGGATTACAGGTGTGAGCCACTGTGCCCAGCAGGATGTAAGAGAGCTTTTTATACACCTGCTCTGTGAAAAACATTCTATTAAGAACACTATTTTAGGTGACATTTTCCAGAAAGTGAGTATACTCAAAATTATATATACTTCATTCTAAATATTGTGTTGGCATAAAGTATGAAATCAAATTAGTAGTGCCCTGGAGGTTAATATGGTAGCAGAGGACTGTCAAAAATAATTTGGGTGAAGGGAATTTTGGGAAAAAGAAATACAATACCAACAACTTTGGCCGTGGTGAAAATTTACTCACAACTGCAAGCTATTAGATAACAGCTATGCCAAATTATTGGATTTTTATATATTTCTTTTTTCTCTCTCATTAGTAAAAAACAATTAACCTAATTAAGTCTTCTCTGTGTTATTGACAATAATGACAAGTGAAGATCTAAACATACATCACATGAAAATTAAAAACAACTTAAAGATCCATACCCATATCTCACATATGCCCTTTGTGAGGTGCTACATGTAAGTCATAACATTGTTTTTTAGTGATTAGTAACAATCATTTTCAATATACTTGAAAAATATTTAAAATCATGAGAGCACTACTAAACAAATACAAGAAAAATTGTTTGAAAATAGAATATTAAAATTAGAAAATGAAAGAAAAAGGAGTTTTATGATGTTACTGCTTACCTTTCATTTGCTTTTTTGTTATAGAAAAAGAAGAGAAAAAAAGTCAGAAAAGACATTGTAACAAAATGAATGCAACTGATGATCATAATCCCATAAAACTCAAGAGACTTCATCTATTGAGACCTCAAGATCTATTTTTCTGGGTCCTTTTGTCTTGCTCTCACTCACCTCACTCCCTTAAAGGAGATTATGCCATGAATGTTCATCTACAATCCATGTTTAACTTAATACAATATTTCGGAAACATCGTTTATTTTTAAGCTTCATTATAAAATGTATCATATACATGAAAGACTGATGTATATACTTTGCCAATATATATGATGCTCTCTGATTATTCCTTCTTAATGTTATTCCCTTATCTCTCATGTTATTAGTATTCTGCATATTATGGTAATTATTCCCATGCTGTCCTTCATATTTTACCACCTATGTATGTATCTTTAAACGACATAATGTTTGCTTTTTGCCTGTATTTGACTTTTTATTATTGGAATCATATGTGTTTTTCTGCCACTTGTGCTCATTACATTTTTGTCTCCATGTTGATAAAAGTAGCCAGTTTTCATAAGGTGTATAGTATTTTGTATTCCATTGTAGGCATAAAATGTGTTTGTTTTGTTTTGTTTTGTTTGTTTGTTTTGAGACTGAATCTCACTCTGTCACCAAGGCTGGAGTGCAGTGGCATTATTTGGGCTCACTGCAACCCCCGCCTCCTGGGTTCCAGAGATTCTCCTGTCTCACCTCCCTAGTAGCTGGAACTACAGGCATAGACCACCATGCCCAGCTAATAAATATAGTTGTATTGTACATAAATTTTTTGGTTAATTTTAGTGTTTCGATGGCACAAACAATATTTATCTATTTCTATACATGGTTATGGTTGCTAGATAAATACGAGTTGCTCAGTTAAATTTGTATTTCAGATAAAACAATTTTTTAGAATAAGTATATTCCTAATATTGCTTAGAAGATACATACACTATGCTTTATTATTTATATTAAATTTAAATTTAACTGAAAGTCATGTACTCTTATTTGCTAAATCTGGCAACAACTCTACAAGGTGCAAATTTTTAGGAAGTTAAGTAGGACATATATATTTAAGTATGTAATTGTTACTTGTGTAATTGTTATGTCTTGGGTAATAAGTGTGTTCAATTTATTTCCACATTGGTTATATTGATTTATATATCTATTGTGGTTCTATTGGAGTGCTAATTACTTACTATCTTCACTAATGCATAGTATTGTCTGACTTCATAACTTTGCCAGTTTGATGAGTGTCAAATTTTATATCATTGTGGTTTGAATTTCAATTTCCCACGTTACGAATTAAGTTGAATATCTTTTCAAATAACTGTGGACCATTTGTGTTTCTGCTCCTGTGAGATGCCCAGTTACATATTGTGCCTCCTTTTTCTATTGTGTTATCAGCTTCAGGATTTGGAGGATTTCTTTATATGTTCTGGATGCTAACCATTGTTGGCTTATATGTTGCATATACAGTGTGCCATTTTGTGGATTATCTTTTGATATTAACATTAGTTTTTGTTCATCCCATGTGTGTAGACTGGCTTCCGGGATCTCTAGTTAGTTCTATTTTCTCATCATCTATCACTGAGCCCAAAATACATAATGTAATTATTACAGCTCTACAAGAAAATGCTGGAATAACTTGTAGGGCATTTCTCCTAATCTTTTTGACAACTGACTTAACAGCTGGCAGATGGTCAATTTATGTTAATGTTTCCTATACATTTAAAATGTACATTATCCAGTTGTTGGGTGCCATCATGTTCTATTTAGATGTCCATTTGATTAAGCATGCTATTTATCCTGTTCAAATCTTCCAGATATTTACTGATATTTTTCTGCTTAACCTGTCAACTATTTAGAGAAGTACGTTAAAATTCTCAAATATGCGGCAGGGCGCGGTGGCTCCTGCCTGTAATTTTAGTACTCTGGGAGGCCGAGGTGGGCAAATCACTTGAGGTCAGGGGTTTGAGACCAGCCTTGCCAACATGGTAAAACCCCATCTCTACTAAAAATACAAAATAGCAATTAGCTGGACATGGTGGCACGCACCTGTGGTACCAGCTACTCGGAAGGCTGATGCAGGAGAATCACTTGAACCCGGGAGGCAGAGGTTACAATGAGCCGAGATTGTGCAACTGCATTCCAGGCTGTACTGCACTCCAGCCTGGGAGACAGAGTAATACTCCCTCTCAAAAAAGAAAAAAAAAAAAAAGAATTCAAATATGATGGTTGGATTTGTTAGTTTCTTTTGATTTGTAGTTTAGTCAAATTTCACTTTTAACCTATTCTCAAAACTATTTTTACTGTTTTGAATTGCTTAATCTCATAATGAATTAATACTTCTGTAACTATTTATTGGCCCTCTTTATAGAAATAAATGTTGCCTAAAATTTATTTTGTCTGATACTAATGTAGTTGTGCCAAATATTTTTCTTCTCATTTATTTTGTATATCTTTTGTATTTTACTTATATGGTTCTTGTGTCCTCATGTTTAAATATGACTTTCATTAAAATGTACAAATACATTTTAAAAATATGATATGACAGTGAACAGCATAGTTTGTGCTTTGTAATATATGTATATATGTTTATATATACATGTATATATGTTTATATATACATGTATATATGTTTATATATACATGTATATATGTTTATATATACATGTATATATGTTTATATATACATGTATATATGTTTATATATACATGTATATATGTTTATATATACATGTATATATGTTTATATATACATGTATATATGTTTATATATACATGTATATATGTTTATATATACATGTATATATGTTTATATATACATGTATATATACATGTGTATGTTTATATATACATGTATATATACATGTGTATGTTTATATATACATGTGTATGTTTATATATACATGTATCTATATATGTGTACATGTTTATATATGTATCTATATATGTGTACATATGTTTATATATACATAGATACATATGTTTATATGTGTGTATATATACATGTATACACATAAGTACATGTGTATATACATATGCATGTACATATGTATATTCTTTGTTTCATTTTCTTTTTTTTTTTTGAGACGGAGTCTCGCTCTGTCGCCCAGGCTGGAGTGCAGTGGCGGGATCTCGGCTCACTGCAAGTTCCGCCTCCCGGGTTCACGCCATTCTCCTGCCTCAGCCTCCCAAGTAGCTGGAACTACAGGCGCCCGCCACTACGCCCGGCTAATTTTTTTTTGTATTTTTAGTAGAGACGGGGTTTCACCGTTTTAGCCGGGATGGTCTAGATCTCCTGACCTCGTGATCCGCCCGCCTCGGCCTCCCAAAGTGCTGGGATTACAGGCGTGAGCCACCGCGCCCGGCCCATTTTCTTTTTAATTGGCATAATAAATACACATATTTATTGGGTACTATATGATGTTTTATACATGTGTATATCATATAATGATTAAGTCAGGATAATTGGCATTTGATTTATTTCTATCATCTTATTTAGTATTTCCTATTTGTCCCACTTTTATAGTTTTTCTTCTTTCATAGTTGATTACTTTTGGTTTGATCATGATTCTTTCCCATTGTTTCATTTTTTGTTGTACTGTTCTAGAAGTTGTACATTCTATTTTGTTTATTTAGTAGTTGAGGAAATTTAATATGTATTTAAAATATCAAAAATTCTAAAATTAATAACATCTGTCTCTTACGTTATATGAAAATGTTAGAATGCTTGAACTCCAATCAAAACATCCCAAATTATTTACTCTTATTATTCAGTATTTTCAGATTTGTTTTGATTTTCTGTGAAGATATAGTCTTTCTTATTAACATAAAATAAATAAAAATATATTTTATTAAATATTTTTTATCTTACATCATTTTAATCACATAATGTTCAAGTAAGTATTTTGATAAATCAGCATTTGTCCTGCTGACTTTTGTTGAACATTCGGATGGTTTCCAGACTACACTAATGCCAACAATAGTCTTAGTTGGCTGAAAATTACTTAAAAGTAAACCTAATAGCTCACAATAACAGTTAAATTTTGACAATTTAACATCATTCTATATGAAGCAGTGCAAAAATATATCAGGAAACTGAACCTCTAAAAATAAATAACTTGGTCAAGTTCAAAGGGCTATTAAGTGGTAAAAGTGGGCTTTGGACCCAGATAGTTTACATTTTGAGACATACAGCAAAAATGTGGAAATCTCACACACACACACACACACACACACACACACACACACAATTTCCAAGTTCTACTTAAGGAATAAAAACTGATGTAAAGCTATTCTAAGACACACACATACACACACACACACACACAAATATCAATTAGTGACAAAAATGTGTGAAGTAGGAACATTCATTTTTGACCTATTGTCTTGAGTCTTCATTATCCCAGTGTTTCTCTTTTTGCCAAGCCTTTATCACTGCAGGCTATTTTGGACAATTGGACAATTTGCTTTCAAATATCTTTTCTTACCAAGGAAACACCATTGAGTGATTACAGTTCACATTGCCTAATTCTTAACATTTCTATTATACAGACATATCTGATGTAAACTTTAGGCCTCTCCAACAAAGGTATTTTCTCAGTCACAAAATAGATATTCATTATAAAGAGAGTTGCATTTTATGAAAAGGAAATCTTCACTTTCTAGTTTCCATTGAAATTGAATTAAATGAACATGAAGATCTTTTATACCACTATTTAGAAACATTCCTCTAGCATGACAATAAGAATACCTATAATATAATTTAATTGTAGATATGAAGCTTGAAATAAAAGTGCTTAAAATATTGACTACTTTAAACTGAAGACAGAAAATTGATTGACTTAGGAAAAAATATAGATTTTGAAATTTAATTTTACTAAAATTTGCACCATCTTATTTATTTTTCCATTGGCTACACTTTGTATCACAGACCATTAAGTATGATTTCAGACTTTCATGAACAACAATTTAAACACATTTGAAAATAAGATATGCATTTTATAAATTAAAGTATCTCCCACTCAACCTAAGGTGAAAGACACTTATAGCCAGAACACCAAAATTTAAGGAGCAAGAAAACAGGAATTTTTGCCTATTTGTTCACTACTACAATTGTAGTTTCTTGGATGTACATGGCCCACAGTATGCACTCAGTAAACATTTCTTGAATGAATACACACGTGAATAATTATTTATCAGCATTCACTATTTGGTGCATATTAATTGTGTGTTATGAATTAAAAAAGGACCCAAAGTGCCTGGTTCTACAGCAGCAGTTTTCAACAGATGGGCTAGCTGCTCCAAGAATATAACTGGGGCAGGAATTGTAGTTCAAAAAACTTCCCTTGATGATTCAGCATTACAACCATGCTTTACAAGTTTTCCCGGTATCATAAGGGCAAGCCAGTTAATCAAGTTTCTCTCAAAATAGATTTAATTTTTTTTCTATTTAATAGTGATTCTGAAAGTCCTGAGTATGGTCTAGCATGTCTGATAGCATTTTCTCATTGTGAATCAGCTTTTGTCCTTTATTCAATAAAATTGGTCTGTCTTGTGCAGTAGCATATGTGGAAAGAAATTGCTAGGCTGTTGTATAGGGTCAACTAGGATGAAAGGAGATAGCAGGCAGAATGTTAACTAATGGTGGATACAATTACTAATATCGGAAGAGCCATTTTAAGCATTCCATTTGTGTGTTCACTGATTTGCAGATGTTCTGGAAAACATCCTGTTATTTCTTTTTTAGTGTCTGAATAAAGAGACCATTCTAATCATTTTAAAAGCTTTTCATTATAAAAAGTTTGAAAAGAAGCTGGGTTTTATTAACAGCTATTGAATATATACATTTTGAAAAAAATATATTTTTGAATAGTTTTCTTTGCCCTTCTCATAGATAACTTGGCAACATTGTGCATTGTTTCTCAAAGGGAAATGTAGATTTAAATAAATACAAGTATGCCTCAATTTATGAAGTCCCGATTTATGAAAACATGAATTTAAAAACTCAGTTGGTTCGTTAAATTTTCTGCCTAGAGACAATCTTTCTGTTCCGGAAAATACAGCAAGACCTAATAGAGATCATAGAGACAAATTTTTGCTTTTCTGTCTTTGTGTTGCCTTATAAAATCAGACTATATCACCCTTGGGCTCAATTTTCTTATTTGTAACATAAGACACAAAGAATTCTCTAACAAGCATCAGTGAAGTAGTTAAAGCCTGATCAAATTGTATTATAAATAATTGTTCCCAATGGCAGTTTTGCTACTACTACACCTTCTGAAGTGCTATTTAATATTTTAGATACTATGACCCCACCTTTAGATACTCTGGAGGTCTGTAGTTTTGCTAAATATTTTGTTAAATATACTCTCTATATGAATCTCATGGACCCTTTTGCCCAAAGACCAAAATTTTGGAACCCCTGTTTTGAAAACTTATGAGAGCTATTGAATTGACCACAGACATATATTGGTCAAATTTAAAAACAGACTTTTTGGCCAGGTGTGGTGGCTCACGTCTGTAATCCCAGCACTTTGGGAGGCCAAGGCAGGTGAATCAACAGAGGTCAGGAGTTCAAGACCAGCCTGGCCAAGAGGGTGAAACCTTGTATCTACTAAAAATACAAAAATTAGCCAGGTGCAGTGGTAGGCACCTGTAATCCCAGCTACTCAGAAGGCTGAGGCAGGAAAATTGCTTGAAGTCGGGAGTCAGAAGTTGTAGTAATCCAAGTTCATGCCTCTGCACACTAGCCTGAGCAACACAGTGAGACTCCATCTCAAAGAAACAAACAAACAAACAAAAAATAGACCTTTTATTGTATGTCTTTTCATGTAGCTGATTTGATTATTCGTTTATATTAATTTATATGTAATACTGCAAGTAGACATTGTTGAATAATTATTTTTCCTTTCTTTTTCTTATTTCATATAATCTAGTTTGGTTCACTTTTTAGATGTGGAATAACTGAATCAAAGGCTGAGTGTTGCCAGGCATGTTGATACTAAGTACAGGGCTACTAAGTAGAAAGGAAGCATTTACTTGGACAAAAGATTTTAATAGTGTTTAAATGCAATATTTTAAAACAAAATTATAGCAAAAACCTGTGATGAACGAAATCACATTTCAAATAAAGACAGGATCCAATTTCCTCATTTTGCCTCAGGTTCCAATGTGACTGTGGACAGCACTCCTGCCAACATCATTTGAATATTATCATTTCTGAGGACACTTACAAATTTGACAGGTGGAAAATAATCTCTTCATATCATTATTTGTCTCATATGAACATATTTATGCCCATCTTTATACCACAATGGCAAAGTAAAGTATAGTGTCTTTCCGATCACATGTAACATGGCAAAATGATGTAAATTTCAAGCAGGTGAGAAAAGGTAGGTGATGCTCTTTTGTCACTGTAATTCTTTCTGTATTTGTTTCATATTGTTCAAAACTAGGTGTTTGTTCTATACCAGTTCATGATAGTTATGTTCTTGGTGGATTGTTGTTTTACTAGTGTGCACTCTCTGTCTGTGTTCACATTAATGCTTTTTCACTTTCAATTCAATGCTTTTTCACTTTTGATTCTATTTTGCTATATATTAACATTTATTTGATTTATTTGTTAATTTACTTGATATTTTATTTTAAACTTGTTATTTTGTTTATATATGACTATAGTAAATAGTCTATAGAAGGAATTATTTTGTTTCTGATTTGAATGCTTGCCTTTTAATAGGCATGCTTGATTTATTTCCTTTTCCTGAGATCACTGGTCTGTTTTCATGTGTATTTGTATATACCATCTTCAGCATCACATCTGTTTTCCTTTCCTGTTTCATTTTGGATTGTGGAGCTTACTCCATGCACTTCTCTATTAGATTAAACTTTTATTTTCTAGTCTTTCTCTAATTTTCCTTATATTTTTAACATTTAAACAAAACTCTGAAACTACTGGGACAACTGGCTATATACCTGTAATATAGTGAAGTGTGATCTCTATCTTAAACTGTATATAAAAATTAGAGGTCTCAAGATGCATTGTAGACCTAAATATGTGCTGAAAATGTTCTAAAAGTAGAAAGTTGTGATGTTTGCATAATTATGTGAATGTACTTAAAAACACTGAATTGTAAAGTTTAGAAGGGTGAGTTTTATGGTACTTTATCTCAAAGCTTATATTAAAAATCTAAAATTACTATGTCTATCTTTCTAAGACAGCTTGCTGTAATATCTTGATTTTCTTAATTTAGATTTTCCTTTTGCAATGTTATCTCTTTCATGAATTTCCTTTTGTGTTTTTTGATGGAGGGTTGTCCTGACTGGGAGGTGGCTGTTTTATTTTGTTTCAAATCATACATTTTCCTCCACATTTAGCAATTTCATTGTTGCTTCTGCTACACATTTTGGATTTGGAGACTCAAAAGAGAGCCACATGAGCAGTTTGGAGCTCTTTATTTGTATAACACAATCCTAGTCACTATGTTTGTGTGCAATTCAGGCTGGGTCCTAATTTCGTAGCAGCATCTCAGCTTCCTTCCTGTTCCACAGTCAGCTTTCAATGGACAGCTACATCTCCTAAACAAGTCAGAGAGCACAATTCTTAGCCCTGGCTTAATGAAGGAAGCCTGGTTTTGCTATCCAACCACTTAAGGGATGAGGTCACTCTCTGTTACTGCAGGACACTAAAACTAGACCCCTGCTGCTTGTTTCTGATTTTGGTGTCTTTCACCTTTAGTTAGTGTTCTGGACTGTGAGTTTCCCCTTTCCCGGGCACACAGTACCATTCTGTATCAGTGTAATTAGGCATTCTAAAAATATTTTTAAAATGCACACATGGTCCCATGTTTTCAGTGAAGGACAAACTTTTAGCATATGCTCAGTCATCCACCTTATGTGGGAAACTAATCAAGGTTAGAAGTATGTAGCTAGAATTCAGCTAATATAAAATACTAAGAAATAGTGGGCATAACCTAATATTATTACTTAAGTATGATTACTACTAATGAAGATGAACATTTCCCTATATTGTTGTTAATGTTTTATATTTTATTTTAGTAAATTAGGTTTTAATATTCTCTTCCACTGTTGTCTTTTTGAAACTTGCTCTTTTCCTCATCGGTTCTTATGAGCTACAAATATGGTTCACTTTATTTATATTTTGACATTTAATTTAGTTTTTAAATAATGTTCAAGGTAGTTTAGTTATTGGTCAATTATGGAATGAGACCCCACTTCTGTTGTCCTTCCCAGCCTCTCCCCCACCTCCCCTTTTCCCTAGTTTATAAGCAGGAGAAAAGGGAGAAAGCAAAACGTTGGAAGGAAACAGAAGTAAGACAAATAGTTAGATGACCTTGGTGCCAACACCTGGCCCTGGTGGTTAAAATAATAATAATAACAATAATAATAATAATAATAATAACCCCTGACCAAAACTACTGGTGTTATCTTTAAATTCCAGACATTGTATGAGAAAGCCCTGTAAAACTTTTTGTTCTGTTAGCGGATGTATGTAGCCCCCAGTCACATTCCTCGCACTTACTTGATCTTTTATGAACCTTTCACGTGGACCCCTTAGAGTTGTAAGCCCTTAAAATGGCTAGGAATTTCTCTTTTGGGGAGATCAGCCCTTAAGATGCGAGTCTGCTGATGCTCCCAGCTGAATACAAACCTCTTCCTTCTTTAATCCGGTGTCTGAGGAATTTTGTCCATGGCTCATTCTGCTACATTTCTTGGTTCCCTGACCAGGAAGCAAGGTGATCAATGGATGATCGAGGCAGCCCTTCAGGTGGCTTAGGCCTGACCTGTGGAGTATCCTTGTGGGGAACGCAGGCCAGCTTGAATGAGAGCAGATCATGAGAGTGCTCCTGGGCAGGCAATTGCCCCAGTGGAATGTCTCACCAGAGCAGTGCATGGCAGGCCCCCGTAGAGGATCAAGGCAGTGGCTGAACACTGGGAAAGAAATGGCAGTTTAAGTCTGGATATCTGATACTTGGTAAGACTGGTCTTTGGAACTAGCCCACTCCATTTGAGTGGAAGCATGGCCTGATCACCCATGGCGTGCCTGTGCCAGTACTTTGGTTTTTGTTTTCAACTTGACTTGAATTGTTTGATACTTTCGTTTTGGTTTTTACCTGGTTTGGATTTCTGGATATTGTGATTTTGGTTTTGATTCTGGTTTGGTGTAAACTGGAAAAGTGTGTGTGTGCCCTTTTTACCCATTCTTTGTTCTGTGGTATGCGTGTGGTGTGAGTTTGGTGTTTTGTCTCAAGGTAACATGGATCAGACACAAAGTAAGCCCACTCCGCTAGGAACTATGTTGAAAATTTTAAGAAGGGATTTAATGGAGACTATGGGGTTACTATGACACCAGGGAAATGTAGAACTTATTTTGAAATAGATTGGTCAAAATTAGAAGTGGGTTGGCCATCAGAAGGAAACCTGGAGAGGTCCCTTGTTTCTAAGGTATGGCACAAGGTAACTGGTAAGTCAGGACACTCAGACCAGTTTCCATACATAGCCACTTGGTTACAGCTGGTGCTAGACCCCCCACAGTGGCTAAGAGGGCAGGCAGCAGCAGTGCTAGTAGCAAAGGGACAGATTGCCAAGGAAGGATCCTACTCCACCCGCCGAGGGAAATCAACTCCTGAAGTTCTGTTTGACCCAACATCAGAAGATCCCTTGCAGGAGATGGAACCAGTGATCCCAGTGGTGCCCTCCCCTTACCAGGGAAAGATGCTCCCCACTCTTGAGCCCACAGTCCTTGTGCCTCCACAAGACAAACATATCCCTAGGCCACCCGGAGTAGACAAGAGAGGAGGTGAAGCCTCGAGAGAAACCCCTACATTGGCAGCTCGTTTAAGACCCAAAACTGGGATACAAATGCCCCTGAGAGAGCAGTGGTATACTGGGATAGATGAGGATGGTCACATGGTGGAGAGGTATGTTTTTGTGTACCAGCCCTTCACCTCTGCCAACCTTCTCAACTGGAAAGACAATACCCCATCCTATACTGAAAAGCTACAAGCTCTAATTTATTTGCTCCAAACTATTATCTAGACCCATAACCCCACTTGGGCTGATTGCCACCAGTAGCTCATGTTCCTCTTTAACACAGATGAAAGGCAGAGAGTGCCCCAAGCAGCAATTAAGTGGCTAGAGGAACATGCATCGGCGAATTACCAAAATCCCCAAGAATATGTAAGGACCCAGTCACAAAGAACCGACCCCAGTGGGACCCAAATGAAAGAGAGGATATGCAAAGGCTAAACTGATACAGGGAAGTTCTCTTGGAAGGATTAAAGAGGGGAGCCCAGAAGACCACAAACACTAACAAGGTCTCTGAGGTCATTCAGGGAAAGAAGAAATTCCAGCACAATTCTATAAGAGATTGTGTGAGGCCTATCATATGTTTACTCCCTTTGATCCTGATAGCCCTGAAAATCCCGCATGATTAACATGGCTTTATTTAGTCAAAGCACAGAAGACATTAGAAGAAAACTGCAGAAAAAGGCTGGGTTTGCAGGGATGAATACATCACAGTTATTAGAAATAGTTAACCAGGTGTTTGTAAACAGGTATGCAGTAAGCCATAAGGAAAACCACAAAGAGAATGAATGTCTGGTCCAGTGAAATGCTGTCCTGTTAGCTGCAGCAATCAGAGGGGTCTCCCCAAAGAGGCAAGGGAAGAGGGGGCCTGGGAGAGAAACTCAGCCTGGCTGTCAGAGCTTGCAGCATAACCAGTGTGCTTATTGTAAAGAAATAAGACATTGGAAGAACAAATGTCTACAGCTAAAAGGAAAACAAGGTGACTCAGACCAGGAGGCCCCAGATAAGGAGGAAGGGGCCATGCTCAACCAGGTTAGAAGGGTTATTGGACTGAGGGGGACCGGGCTCAAGGGCCCCGTCTTTAGGGGCATATGGTCAGGATGACAGTCCGAGGTAAAGACACTGATTTTCTTGTAGATACCGGTGCTGAACATTTGGTAGTACACTCGGACCCAGCTTCTCCAAGGGTCCAAGAACTCTCCCACCATCTTCAGGGAGGCATTGGCTCAAGACCTCCAGAAGTTTCCCACCAGAGACCTAGGCTGAGTGTTGCTCCAGTAAGTTGATGACCTGCTGGGACACCCCATGACAGTCGGGTGCACCAAGGGAACGGATGCCCTCCTCTGGCACCTGGAGGACTGTAGGTATAAGGTGTCCAAGGAAAAAGCTCAGATCTGCCAACAGCAGGTACATTACTTGGGATTTACTATCTGACAGGTGTAGCACAGCCTGGGATCAGAAAGAAAGCAGGTCATTTGCCGTCTACAAGAGACTAAGACCAGAAGGCAGGTGAGAGAATTCTTAGGAGCTGTGGGTTTTTCCAGACTGTGGATCCCAAACTTTGCAGTATTAGCCAAGCATTTGTATGAAGTCACAAAGTGAGGCGGTGTGGAGGGGGGTGGGGGTGCCGGGAACCATTTGAATGTGTTATACCCAAGCGAGTTAGAGAAAACTCCACACTTTGAGATGAATTAAGAGTCCTTTATTTAAGCTGGTGGCCAAAGAGACAGCTAATGCTCAAAATTCTCTCAGCCCAGAGAAGGGGCATGATTAACTTTTATACCTTGGTTTAGGGAGGGGAGGGAAGTTTAAATGCAATAATTCTACAGAAGTAAAAACATGCAACAATCAAAAAAAAAAAAAACAAATGCTTACAGAGAGATAAACAATTTAAAAGACAACTGGTTACAAGAAAAGGAAAGGGAACCAGGTGCAGGGCTCTAAATCCTTCATTAGAGTTAGATATGGATGCTATGCTGGACACAGACTCAAGGCTTTATGTTGTTATCTCTTTGATCAAAATCCTGGGAAATTCATACATTGTTTGTTCCAGTACCTTATCAGTTAATTGGGTTCCTTTGAAATGATGAGGATCTGCTTACACAAGTTAACTCCTTGAGGAAGGGGGTTGGGTAAGGAGCGCTTAGTGTCTTGTAAATCACAGGGCCAAATGGAGTTCATCCAGCGTTCCCAGCTTAGAGAGAGTCTATTTACATGGGAAACAAGGCTAGGTAATTACAGAGACAAAAAGGGAAAATTTAAAAATAGTGAGTTAGAGTAAAAACAAGGTTAGGCATTACAAATGGGGATCCCAACAACAGTAAGCCTTTCATGAGTTACAGGAAAGACTTATGTCAGCCGCAGCCCTGGGGCTACCAGATCTGACATTTACATCTTATGTGTCAGAGAGAGAAAAGATGGCAGTTGGAGTTTTAACCCAAACTGTGGCGGCCTGGCTGCGGCCAGTGGTCTACCTCTCTAAACAACTAGATGGGGTTTCTAAAGGATGACCCCTGTGTTTGAGGGCCTTGGTAGAAACTGCCCTGCTAGTACAAGAGTGGATAAGCTGACCTCGGGTGGAACCTGAACATAAAGGCCCCCTATGCTGTGGTGACTTTAATGAATACTAAAGGACATCATTGGCTAACCAATGCTAGACTCACCAAGTACCAAAATTTGTTCTGTGAAAATCCCCATATATCCATTGAACTTTGTAACACCCTGAACCCTGCCACCTTGCTCCCAGTATCAGAGAGCCCTGTGGAACATGACTGTGTAGAAGTGTTGGACTCAGTTTACTCTAGCAGACCTGACCTCCAGGACTAGCCTTGGGCATCAGTAGACTGGGAACTATATGTGGATGGGGGTAGCTTCATCAACCCGCAAGGAGAGAGATGTGCAGGGTATGCAGTGGTAACCCTCAGCACTGTTGTTGAAGCCAGATCTTTGCCCCAGGGCACTTCAGCCCAGAAAGCTGAACTCATTGCTTTAATTTGAGCCTTAGAACTCTGTGAAGGTAAGACTGTAAACATTTACACTGACTCTCGGTATGCCTTTTTAAACTCTTCAAGTGCATGGAGCATTATATAAAGAAAAGGGCCTATAGAACTCTGGGGGAAAGGACATAAAATATCAACAAGAAATCTTGCAATTATTAGAAGCAATATGGAAACCCCACAAGGTGGCAGTTATGCATTGCAGAGGACATCAGCAAGCTTCAACCTTGGTGGGCTTGGGGAATTCCTGCACTGACTTAGAGGCTCAAAAAGCAGCATCTGACCTCTTCCAGGCCTCAATCACAGCCCCCCTGTTCCCTCAAGCACCTGGTCTTGTACCTACTTATTCTAAAGAAGAAAAAGACTTTCTCCAGGCAGAGGGAGGACAGGTGATAAAGGAAGGATGGGTTCGGTTACCAGATGGGAGAGTAGCTGTGCCACAGATGCTAGGAGCTGCAGTTGTACTGGCTGTTCATGAAACCACCCATCTAGGTAAGGAGTGACTTGAAAAGTTGTTAGGCCAGTATTTCTACATCTCACACTTGTCAGCCCTCACCAAAACAGTGACACAGCAGTGTGTTACCTGACAACAGCATAATGTGAGGCAAGGTCCAGCTGTTCCACCCAGCATACAAGCTTATGGAGCAGCCCCCTTTGAAGATCTCCAGGTGGACTTCACAGAGATGCCAAAGTGTAGAGGTAACAAGTATTTACTAGTTCTTCAGTGTACCTACTCTGGGTGGGTAGAGGCTTATCCAACACCAACTGAGAAAGCTCGTGAAGTAACCCATGTGCTTCTTCGAGATCTTATTCCTAGATTTGGACTACCCTTACGGATCGGCTCAGATAACGGGCCATCATTTCTGACTGACTTGGCACAGAAGATAGCAAAGTATTGGGGATCACAAGGAAACTACATGCCACTTACGGGCCTCAGAGTTCCAGAAAGGTGGAGCAGATGAATCGGAGTATCAAACATAGTTTAGGGAAAGTATGTCAGGAAACACGATTAAAATGAATACAAGCTCTCCCTATGGTATTATTTAAAATAAGATGTATCCCTTCTAAAAGAACAAGATGTTCCCCTTATGAAATGTTATATCATAGGCCCCCTACCATATTGTGGGGACTTCCAGGCACTCCCCAAGAGTTAGGTGAAATTGAGTTACAGCGACAGGTACAGGTTTTAGGAAAAATTACACAAACAATCTCAGCCTGGGTAAATGAGCGGTGCCCTGTTAGCTTATTCTCCCCAGTTCACCTTTTCTCCCCAGGTGATTGAGTGTGGATCAAGGACTGGAACATAGCCTCTTTGTGCCCACAGTGGAAAGACCCCAGACTGTCATCCTGACGTCTCCCACCACTGTGAAGGTAGAGGGAATCCCAGCCTGGATCCACCAGAGCCATGTAAAACCTGCAGTGCCTGAAACCTAGGAGGCAAGACCATGCCTGGACAACCCTTGCAAAGTGACCCTGAAGAAGACCACAAGCTCTGCTCCAGTCACTCCCGGAAGCT
The DNA here is from genome assembly GCF_000001405.40 of Homo sapiens. Lineage (NCBI taxonomy): Eukaryota > Metazoa > Chordata > Mammalia > Primates > Hominidae > Homo > Homo sapiens. The sequence continues at coordinate 8,868,844 of NC_000024.10, forward strand.
GGCTGGTCCATGCACAGCCAAAGCATGAGGAATCTCATCGTGGGATTCATTTTTCTTAAATTTTGGACTTATACAGTAAAGGCTTCAACTGACATTACTCAAACTGGGGACTGTTCCCAGTGTATTCATCAGGTTGCTGAGGTAGGAGAGCAAATTAAAACAATCTTTCTGTTCTATAGTGATTATGAATGTATGGGAACATTAAAAGAAACTTGTTTGTATAATGCCACTCAGTAAAATGTATGTAGCCCGGGAAATGACCAACCTGATGTGTGGTAAAACCCATCTGAGCCCCCTGCAACCACTGTTTCTGAAATAAGATGAGGAACTGGCCTTTTCCTAAGTGATACGAGTAAAATAATAACTAGAACAGAAGAAAAAGAAATCCCCAAAGAAGTACATTTAAGATTTGATGCTTGTGCAGCCATTAATAGTAAAAAGCTAGAAACAGGATGTGGTTCTCTTAACTGAGAAAGGAGTTACAGAGTAGAAAATAAATATGTTTATCACAAGTCAGGGGTTTGTGAAAATTGTGCCTTTTGTCCATGTGTTATTTGGGCTAGTTGGAAAAAGGACAAAAAAGACCCAGTTCATCTTCAGAAGGGGGAAGCCAACACCTCCTGCTCCGCCAGTCACTGTAACACATTAGAACTAATAATTACCAATACTCTAGATCCCCATTGGAAAAAGGGAGAATGTGTAACCCTAGGGATCAATGGGAGAGGGTTAAACCCCCAAGTTGCCATTTTTGTTTGAGGGGAGGTCCACAAGCGCTCTAAAAAATCAGTGTTTCAAAGCTTTCATGAGGAGCTGAATCTGCCAGAACCAGAACTTCCAAAAAAGCAAAAAAATTGTTTCTCCCATTAGCAGAAAATGTAGCTTATTCCCCTAATGTTACTTCTTGTTCTGTATGTGAGGGAACCACTATCAGAGACCAATGGCCTTGGGAAGCCCGAGAGTTGGTACCCACTGATCCAGCTCCTGATATAATTCCAGTTCAGAAGGCCAAAGCTAGCAACTTCTGGGTCCTAAAAACCTCAATTATTGGACAATACTGTATAGCCAGAGAAGGAAAAGACTTTATCATCCCTGTGGGAAAGCTTAATTGTATAGGACAGAAGTTGTACAACAGCACAACAAAGACAATTACTTGTTGGGCACTAAATCACACTGAAAATAACCCATTTAGTAAATTTTCTAAATTAAAAACTGCCTGGGCTCATCCAGAATCTCACCAGCACTGGACAGCTCCCGCTGGACTATACTGGATATGTGGGCACAGAGCCTACATTCGGTTACCTAACACACAGGCAGGCAGTTGTGCTATTGGCGCTATTAAGCCATCCTTTTACTTATTACCCATAAAAATGGGTGATCTTCTAGGTTTCCCTGTCTACGCCTCCTGAGAAAAGAGAGGCATAGTTATAGAAACTAGAAAGATAACGAGTGGCCCTCTGAAAGGATCATACAGTATTATGGGCCTGCCACATGGGCACAAGATGGCTCATTGGGATACCGAACACCCATATACATGCTCAATCATATCATATGGTTTCAGGCCATCTTAAAAATAAGTGATAATGAAACTGGCAGAGCTTTGACTGTTTTAGCTCAGCAGGAAACCCAAATGAGGAATGCTATCTATCAGAATAGACTGGCCTTGGACTACTTGCTGGCAGCTGAAGGAGGAGTCTGTGGAAAATTTAACTCAATCAATTGCTGCCTACAAACAGATGATCAAGGACAGGTGGCTGAAAACATAGTCAAGGACATGACAAAGTTGGCACATGTGCCTGTACAGATTTGGCATGAGCTTGATCCTGGGTCTTTATTTGGAAAATGGTTTCCAGCTATAGGAGGATTTAAAACCCTCATTATAGGTGTATTGTTAGTAATAGGAACTTGCTTGCTGCTCCCTTGTGTATTACCCTTGCTTTTTCAAATGATACAGGTTTTGTTGCTACTTTGTTTCATCAGAAAACTTCAGCACACGTGTATTATATGAATCACTATCGCTTTATCTCATGAAGAGACTCAGAATGTGAGGATGAAAGTGAGAACTCCCACTAAGAAAGTAAATGTTCTCAAAGGGGGGAAATATGGAATGAGACCACCACTTCTCCTGTTGTCCTTCCCAGCTTCTCCCCCACCTCCCCTTTTGTCTAGTTTATAAGGCAGGAGAAAAGGGAGAAACCAAAAAGTTGGAAAGAAACAGAAGTAAGATAAATAGCTAGATGAACTTGGCACCAACACCTGGCCCTGGTGGTTAAAATAATAATAATAATAATAATAATAATAATAATAATAATAACCCCTGACCAAAACTACTCGTGTTATCTGTAAATTCCAGACATTGTATGAGAAATCACTGTAAAACTTTTTGTTCTGTCAGCTGATGTATGTAGCCTCCAGTCATGTTCCTCATGCTTACTTGATCTATGATGACCCTTTCACGTGGACCCCTTAGAGTTGTAAGCCCTTAAAAGGACAGGAATTTCTTTTTTGGGGAGCTCGGCTCTTAAGACATGAGTCTGCTGACGCTCCCCGCTGAATACAAACCTCTTCCTTCTGTAATCCTGTGTCTGAGGAGTTCTGTCTGTGGCTTGTCCTGCTATAAATGAAATCTGTTAACTTTCTTTGTAATTTCCCATTTCAAAAGTGATTCTTTTTTATTCCTTTTTTATTATTATACTTTAAGTTCTAGGGTACATATGCACAACATGCAGGTTTGTTACATATGTATGCATGTGCCATGTTGATGTGCTGCACCCATTAACTCATCATTTACATTAGATATATCTCCTAATGCTATCCCTCCCCCAACCCTACAATAGGTCCCTGTGTGTGATGTCCGCTTTCCTGTGTCCATGTGTTCTCATCATTCACTTCCCACCTATGAGTGAGAACATGTGATGATTGGTTTTTTATCCTTGCAATAGTTTGCTGAGAATGATGGTTTCCAGTTTCATCCATGTCCCTACAAAGGACATGAACTCAACCTTTTTTGTGGCTGCATCATATTCCATGGTGTATATGTGCCACATTTTCTTAATCCAGTCTATCATTGTTGGACATTTGGGTTGGTTCCATGTCTTTGCTATTGTGAATTGTGCCACAATAAACATATGTGTGCATCTGTCTTTATAACAGCATGATTTATAATACTTTGGGAATATACCCAGTAATTGGATGGCTGGGTCAAATGGTATTTCTAGTTCTAGATCCCTGAGGAATCACCACACTGTCTTCCACAATGGTTGAACTAGTTTACAGACCCACCAACAATGTAAAACTGTTCCTATTTCTCCACATCCTCTCCAGCACCTGCTGTTTCCTGACTTTCTAATGATTGCCATTCTAACTGGTATGAGACAGTATCTCACTGTGGTTTTGATTTGCATTTCTCTGATGGTCAGTGATGATGAGCATTTTCTCTTGTGTCTGTTGGCTGCATAAATGTCTTCTTTTCAGAAATGTCTGTTCATATCCTTTGCCTACTAGTTGATGGAGTTGTTTGTTTTTTTCTTCTAAATTTGTTTAAGTTCCTGGTAGATTCTGGATATTAGTCATTTGTCAGATGAGTTGGTTGCAAAAATTTTCTCCCATTCTGTAGGTTGTCCATTCACTTTGATGGTAGTTTCTTTTGCTGCACAGAAGCTCTTTCCTTTAATTAGAACCCATTTGTCAATTTTGGCTTTTGTTTCATTGCTTTTCGTGTTTTAGACATGAAGTCCTTGCCCACGCCTATGTCCTGAATGGTATTGCCTAGGTTTTATTCTGTTTTTTTTTTGTTTTTTTTTTTTTTTTTATGGTTTTAGGTCTAACATGTAAGTCTTTAGTTCATTTTGAATTAATTTTTGTAGAAGTTGGAAGGAAGGGATCCAGTTTCAGCTTTCTACATATGGCTAACCTGTTTTCCCAACACCATTTGTTAAAGAGGGAATCCTTTCCCAATTTCTTGTTTTTGTCAGGTTTGTCAAAGATCAGATAGTTGTAGATGTGTGGTATTATTTCTGAGGGCTCTGTTCTGTTCCATTGGTCTATATCTCTGTTTTGGTACCAGTACCATGCTGTTTTGGTTACTGTAGCCTTGAAGCATAGTTTGAAGTCAGGTAGTGTGATGCCTCCAGCTTTGTTCTTTTGGTTTAAGATGGACTTGGCAATGCAGACTCTTTTTTGGTTCCATATGAACTTTAAAGTAGTTTTTTCCAATTCTGTGAAGAAAGTCATTGGTAGCTCTAGGGCGATGGCATTGAATCTATAAATTACCTTGGGCAGTATGGCCATTTTCACGATATTGAGTCTTCCTATACATGAGCATGGAATGTTATTCCATTTGTTTGTGTCCTCTTTTATTTCACTGAGCAGTGGTTTGTAGTTCTCCTTGAAGAGGTCCTTCACATCCCTTGTAAGTTGGATTCCTAGGTATTTTATTCTCTTTGAAGCAATTGTGAACGGGAGTTCACTCATGATTTGGCTTTCTGTTTGTCTGTTATTTGTGTATAAGAATGCTTGTGATTTTTGCAGATTGATTTTGTATCCTGAGACTTTGCTGAATTTGCTTATCAGCTTAAGGAGATTTTGGGCTTAGACCCTGAGGTTTTCTAGATATACAATCATGTCATCTGTGAACAGGGAAAATTTGACTTCCTCTTTTCCTAATTGAATATGCTTTATATCTTTCTCCTGCCTGATTGTCCTGGCCTGAACTTCCAACACTATGTGGAATAGGAGTGGTGAGAGAGGGCATCCCTGTCTTGTGCCAGTTTTCAAAGGGAATGCTTCCAGTTTTTGCCCACTCAGTATGATATTGGCTGGGGGTTTGTCATAGTCAGCTCTTATTATTTTGAGATACATTCCATCAATGCCTAATTTATTGAGAGTTTCTGGCATGAAGTGCTGTTGAATTTTGTCAAAGGCCTTTTCTGCATCTATCTATTGAGATAATCATGTGGTTTTTGTCTTTGGTTCTGTTTATGTGTTGGATTACGTTTATTGATCTGCCTATGTTGAACCAGCCTTGCATCCCCGGGATGAAGCCCTCTTGATCATGGTGGATAAGCTTTTTGATGTGCTGCTGGATTTGGTTCGCCAGTATTTTACTGAGGATTTTAACAGTGATTCTTAAAAACACACACACACTCACAAACTTGAAGAGATTAACGAATGATCTTATTGTGTTTGTGATAGGTCTGGAAACAAAAAATTCTTAAAGAGAGAACCAAGCTCTGAGTATTTATGGCATTTAACAAGTTTTTCTCTGCTAGAATGAATACTTTATTAAACCAAGTAAACCTCAATAAGCAAATACAATTGTGATCAAATATGGTATTTATGATGGCTGCAGTGAAACAAGAATACATTTCTTGAGGTCTCTTGAAGTCGTTATAGAGTCTTGATTTTGAATTTGACTGTCAATCTTCAGAGTTTTTCTTTTATCATATTTCTATTTGCATACCACAGAGAAACCACTATGGATGTACAAAGAATGATATTTCACTGGCATGTTGCAAACAATGGTATTAACAGAGACTGTAACTGAGAAACAAAGAAATGGAACTTGAGAGACACAGCCAAGATATGATCTATTAATATTTAAATTGAGTTTCTAATTGGAGACAAGTCTATGTTCATTGCCTTAAAGAACAGAGTTTTTTTTTTATTTCCTTGCTGAGCGTTTCTTCAGTGAGAGTATATAATTTTATTTCACCTTTTTTAAAATTTTTTCTTGCTTCACTTCTCAAAACAGACAAAAGCTCCTTATTGTATAGAATAGAAGGCAAATTCTTTATCAATTATTTCAGAGTCAGTTACAATTTGGCTCCAAACCATTTTTCTCATAGTATACCTCTAAATGATGATGATGATGATGATGATGATAATGATGATGATGATGATGATGATGATAGTGATAATAGTACATTTTGCTGATGATTTCTGACAAGGCGTCATTAACTTTTGTAAGCCCATTATGTACATTATCTAATTTAATCTTCATAACAACCTTCTTTCCAGCTTTCATTTTCGAGATGTGCAATTTGAGGCTCAAAAAGTACAGGTGAATTGCCCAAGGTGAAATAGTCACTTTGAGCCCAGGGATGGTGCATTAACTCCCTTATTATTTATAGCCAGGCTACACAGACCTACATGTCATGACCTAAATATCTTAATATCAGATGTGCACGTATTTGCTTGTCTTTTTCTTAACCCCCAGAGGCATTGACACTCCTCATCTACAGTCAAATTCTTCTTCAACTTTTAAAAATACTTAAATGTTCTTTTAAAATGCTGAGAAATTCCATGCTACACCACTCCAACACAGATCATTCATGTAACTCCTTTTCTCCAAAATCAAATGAAAACACAGCCACAAGCTTGACATGGAATCTGAGTGAGACACAGCTGAGTGTGGGTGTCAGAGGGATCTAGTGTTAAGACAAGTTTTCTACCATAAATTGGGTTGAGGAATGCCAACTCTTTTCACTCTTCTTCTTGAAGTAATTTGTGCTAACAATTCTGTGCTTCTGATCAAACTTCTACATCCTGTAGCCAATAGATAACTGAAAGTTATGAGTAAGTAAGATGTTATTAAGCCTATTTTAATATACCCAATCCATACTTGCACTGGTCTCTATATAGTATTAATTAACAATGTTGCTGGGATTGCCTTTTTCTAGATAGCTTAACCCAGGATGTGACAAGTGGTTTTTGTAGATGAATATTGCTCTGTCATTAAGCCAATATCTACCACTCCCTCGTGTTCCATAATTTTGAGCCAATAATGATCTTTCCCATATGTAGAGAAATTAAAAAAAGAATGTTCCGTATATAACATAATAAATGTCTGGCTTTCCTCATACAAATGATTATCAAAATGCTCTGAAAAGGAAGAGTACAGTTACAATATCTTCATTAATTTTCCTCCTAAGACCTCTAAAATAACATTGATCAGAGACTTACTGAAAATCCAATTCTCAACTGAGATAATATTCAGTTATTAATTTATTCATTCTTGTCTTTATTCACTTAGAACAACATGTATGGAAACATTTGGAAACCGATCCAATAACCTCTACAATATTGTAATGTCTATGAGACAATGTACCATTTATAGATTAATGCGTATACATCATTATATGCCATGAGGCATATCTCCTATACAAATTTCTAAAAATATAGTAAGAACAAATAAAGGCCTTCCAACTAAGCCAAATACAATAGCTGTTTTTATCTGTACATTATTTTGTTTTTATTTTCAAAAGAAGAGAGATATATACCAATATGTGTAAGATAGAAGATATTTAATGGAAAAGAAACCTGTTAAGAAATCACCAGCCTTTATTTCATAAAATAATATAACAATATTAAGGAACATGCATAGAGAATGTATGACTAGGTAGCACTAACAAGTCACACTTTTATGTGGCCCAGAATTCTAAAAGTTTGTAGCAAGTCATTTTTCTTAAACCTAATGTGTTATGGTAATATTCATTTGAAGTTAGCATAAAAAGAAAATCTGAAATTTTTTAAATACTCAAATGATTGAGTACTTGCCTTCTGTTTTCTGCTGTGCTAAGCAATGAAGGAGCTTCAAGGTTATATAAAGCATGAAACTTGTCTTCCATGAGGTTACCATCTAATTTGGAAGGCTTCTAATGTGACTGTCCCAGATGACCCCCTTGTGAAATGCCCCTAGTGGTCTCAGAAGGCCTCAGAGTTATTTCCTTCAAAAGCAGTTGAAATAAGGAGGTAGTTAAATTAATTTATACAACACATTTCCATTAGGTAGTTCCCTGGTATTATTAAAATAAAATGTTCATATGTTAATTTAATTTCTACTAGTGACTTCATAAAATTAGATTCCCTAAAGTCATACACAAAAAGAAAATTACCATAATTTTTTACTCTCTCCATCAAAGTTTGTACAGAACCAATCTATATATAGTTCATAAAAATAAACACCACTTACACAGTAAAATCAGGTTGCATCAACTTCCGAATGTGACAAGTAATGATTCAGTAAAATATTAACATTTGTAATTCTAACCTTTCATTGTAGTTTCCTCATTGTGGCATGTGAGAAATACATAGCTGATTATCTTCTAATAAAATTTATCCAAATTCAGTAGCCAGTTAAGCCTCAGTAATTGGTGTGTTATTTCATTATTTATTTTCTTAGTTTAAAAAAATTATAAAGGCTACACACTAAACCAATGCAAATAAGTTGTGAGCTAATTGTCCCATTTTATGTAATATCATAACAGTAGAAGAAAGATCTACGGTGACTTATGAGGGGGAAAACAAAAGAGTGAAAGGAAAAGGATATGCCAGTGATGAGCTACTGCAGCCTTTTCAAAATGGTATTTTTCAGATTTTATTTTATGGGGAGCTAAGAAATGTAAGTGTTGGGGAAAAAAAAGAAAGACAAGAAAAAAAGAAAAGAAAGGTTTTTCATGACAAAATAAGTTCTTAACATTGCAGGACTTTTCTGATACTTTACAATGTCCATAAATATGGAAAAACTATAAGTGAAAAATAAAATATTTGATGGCAGAACCCCTTACCCATCCTCTTTTAAAGCAACTATTATCAAGTACTGTTAAGGGTGAGGTTGACAATCTCCTTCTGTAAAGGGCCAGGTATGCCTGACAGGCCTTAGGGTCTTTTGTTCAGCTACCCAGCTGTATTGATGCAACACAAAAGCAGCCATAGACAATATGTAAAAGAATTAGTGTGACTGTGTTCCCACAAAACTTGATTTATAAACAATGACATATGAATCTTCTGTACTTTTCACATCACAATACTATTCATTTTTGACTTTTTTAAACATTGAAATATGTAAAAATTTATTCTTGTCTCACAAAGCATACACAAAGAGAGAGTAGGCAGAGTTTAACACATAGGTCACAGGGGGGCCAACACTTGATCTAGAGGAAACAGGAACTGCATTGTGCAGACTCTGTCTCTTTTTCCAGAAACATACATTCCACATTGGAAAAGACAACTATATTACCTCTTCCTTGTTAAGGGAAAAGGGATTGAGGATGAGCTAAACTCAGATGTGGCCATGTGGTTTCCAGCCAGGTTGCTCAAAACTGAAAAGATATCTTCCATTTTCAAATGATTTATTGCATGGGCTTTGGGGTGAGAATAAATTGAATTCATATCTAACTTTTACTACACACAAGGTATGAGTCTTCACATAAATCACTTGACCAACTGGAACCTCTGCTTTCACTGCTAAAGAGTAGTACCTACAACACAAGGTTGTAGTGATAATTAAATAAGCATTGAAAACAGTAGCTATCACCACAGAGTGTTTCCCAAACAGTAGTGTCACTTCATTCTTAGTTTGTATTTATGCATATGGTTTGTCTACTGATTATTATTTTCATGTTGAGCAAGTTGCATCTGCTGCTTATTATCAAGAGTGAAAGTCTGAGCACTCCTACCCACTACCTCTTGGTATTGGAGTCACTGAGGAAAACACAAGGCAGTCAAGCACTGGTGCATAGAGAAGAAACAAAGAAAGATCAGCTTCAGTAGTGGGTGCCATTCCCCCATGGCCAGTGGGTCCCTCTTGGCCGTTGACACAGGCAATTGGCCTCCACACACCCCTCTTGTGTCACAGCAGAAGGACTTTACCTTCTCCCCGCTGGGGTTGGCCAGTCCAAAGGAGTGAACATTGAGTCTAAAACAGAAAAATACCCCCAAGCAAGGTGACAAGTGTAGGACAGGCTGTGGGGATTCTTTATCTCTTCGTAAGGAAGTGCTCCTGGACCAATGCCCATTTGTATGTGTCAAAAAGGAGATAGAAAGACTGCACACAGGCAGGTGCAGTGGCTCATGCCTGTAATCACAGCACTTTGGGAAGCCGAGGCAGGTGGATCACCTGAGGTCAGGAGTTCGAGACCAGCCTGACCAACAACCCCATATCTACTAAAAATACAAAAATTAACCAGGCAGGTGGGAGGCCCCTGTAGTCTCAGCTACTTGGGAGGCTGAGACAGGAGAATTGCTTGAACCTAGGAGGCAGAGGTTGCAGTGAGCTGAGATAGCACCATTGCACTCCAGCCTTGGTGACAGAGTGAGACTCCATGTCAAAAAAAAAAAAAACCAAGAAAAAGAAAGATGACATGCACATGACTTCCTTACCCAAGAATTGATGTACAGACACAGGTGTAGATATATATATTTATTTATACATATCAGAGGTTTACTATAACCTTGTATGTGTGTTTATATGCAGTGAGTTTTCTTTTCACTGAATATAATAAACATAATAAATTTATTAAGAAGTGCCAGCCTAATGGAGAGAAGATGAAATGGTTCTGCTTTTTAAAAAATCACTGCTTTTAACTTTTGGATGACATCCATAAATGCTATCTAGGGTAAATTCCACCACTTTCTTTCCTTTAAATCCCAGAGTTTGCAATTCAATCTCTAACTCAATTCAAATCTAATTTCAACTTCTCTCTTTCTCATATCTTTAGTTTGAGGTCACATATACCCAGAGGAAAGAGTAGTCTGCTCTTTTACCTCGCTGTTCATACCACCTTTAGGCAGGACCAGGGATATGTTCTCTCCCTGTTTCCCGAGTCTGACTTTTCCAGGGGGAAAAGCACAAGGAGAGACCAGTGCACCAGGGTTCACTCTAGGTGGACAGAAAACATTCTTGTTCTTGCTCCTCTTTAGTCTGTTTTCATCTACTGGTGGCCTATTCTAGTGTTACTGTTTTCTCACAGTTAATATGTGTACTTTCTTTGGATGTTCATCAGCCATATTTCAGGTCCATGAACCTGAAACCATGAGAGAGAGAGAGAGAGAGAGAGAGAGAGAGAGAGACCCACGTTTCCTTTGGACCCCTGTGAAAGCATATTGTCAGCAGTGTACCCATCAACTCTTGCTCTAGGTAGCGCATCTCATAAATTGGTGTTTGCTTGGGTCACCCAATGGAACCTGTTCCATACTATCCTTTTTGCTCCTTCACCTGTAGCTATGAGAACTATGAAGGAACTGTCTGATGCTGTCTTATCACTCCACACCCCTCCTTCCCTGACAATTTATTGTCCTATTGCCCTGCAGTTCTTTCTTGCCTGTCTTGTATTGGTTACTATTCTACCAATTTCTTAACCTTTGGAAATATTCAGAAATGTAGACACTAGTTTTCATGTTCACATACATGTCAAGTTCTATCAAGAATCTCCTTACAGAATGGAAAATAGTTGAGACTCTATGGAGAATATGAGGATTCCTCAGAAGAACTAATCATAGAACTATGATGTGATCCAGATATCTCACTGGTTGGTACATATCCAAAATAAAAGAATTCAGTATATTGAGTCCAGGAGTTTGAGACCAGCTTAGGCAACACCGCAAAATGCTCTCTCTATAAAAAGCACAAAAAATTAGCCGGGCATCATGGTGTGCATCTGTAGTCCCATCTACTATTGAAGCTGAGGTGGGAGGATAACTTGAGCCTTGGAGGTAGAGGCTACAATGAGCCAAGATTGTACCACTGCACTTTAGCCTGGAAAACACAGTGAGACCTTGTCACAATTAAAAAGTTTATCTTCACTCTCATATTTGTTGCAGCACTATTCACAAAAAGCCAAGATATGGGATTAACCGAAGTGCCCACAAATGGATGAATGGATAAAGAAAATATGGTAAAAACACAAAATTGAATATTATTCAGGCAGAAAAAGAAAATTCTGTCATTTTCAACAACATGGGTGGAACTAGGTGACATTTTGTTAAGTGAAATAAGGAAGGCACAGGAAGACAAATATTGCATGTTCTTACTCACATATTGGAGAGGAAAACATTGGTCTCATGGAGATAGAGAGTAGAGTGATAATTATCAGATGCTGGGGATGGTAGGAGGAAGAGTAATGAAGAAGGGATGGCTAATGGGTACAAGCATACAGATAGATAGAGGGAATCAGATGTAGTGTTTGGTAGCACAACGGAGAGAAGAGAGTCAACAATAATTTAGGCCAGGAACGGTGTCTCACACCTGTAATCCCAGCACTTTGGGAGGCCAAGGTAAGTGGATCACTTGAGCTCAGAGTTCGAGACCAGCCTGGGCAAAAAGGCATAACCCTGTCTCTATAAAGAATACAAAAAATTAGCCAGGCATTGTGGCATGCACTTTTAGTCCCACCTACTCAGAAAGCCAAGGTGGGAGGATAACTTGAGACTTGGAGGTGGAGGCTGCAGTGAGCCAAGATTGCACCACTACACTTTACCTTGGACAACATAGTGAGACCTTGTCTCAACGAAGAAACCCACAGTAATTTATTGTATATTTGAAAATAACTAAAAGAGCAGAACTGGAATGTTCCTAACACAAAGATATAATAAATAGTTTAGGAAATGGATACCCCAATTACTGTGATTTGATCATTACACATTGTATGCCTGTATCAAATATCACATGTATTCCATAAATATGTACAACTATTATGTATATATAATAGTTAAAAAGAATCTTCTTAGAACATTCATCTCACTTGTTTGGTAGCAGCAGATGGCACTGAAGATTTGTCAGTTCTGCAAATTTTCATCTGAGGCAAGAAGTGGCAGTCTCCTTTGAGTAGACACTGCCAATCTTTATGATTAACTTTCTTGTAGCCTCCCCTTGTCTAACTACCAGGAAAAGAGAATGTAACGGCCCTCCCCAAATGCTGAAGTCGTGAAAGTAAAACATCTAAGCATAAATTCCACATTACTCACAAGGCCAATGACACTGTTGACTCTTTTTCCTTTACCTGCTCCAGTCTTTGGTTAGAGGTGGTGAAGTGGTGGTGACGGGTAGGTAGGTGGTTGTTTATACAGGCCATAAATGGTGATCTTTAGTGAGGACTGAAAGTTGATATCTGATGTCAATTATCTGAAGCTATCTTTGGCCTGGACAGTAATTATAGCCTCTTTATAAACATTTTGGATCTTACTTGTTAATTCAAGGGCAAAAAGAAGCTAAGTTTTAGTAGCATTTTGTTTTTACTTGAGACCGTCCTTTGTGTTTAATTTGCTGTTCCTTTAATAACTTCTTGTGATGGATGCTTATGCCTGATACGCACATATATGGCTTAAATTTTCCTGTAAGCATAGTTTTAATATTGTCTTACCTTTCGATGTATAGCATCTTTAATATTATTCAGTTCCAAATACATTCTAAATTCTATCATGATTTCTCCTTTAAATAATGGGTAATTTTAAAGTCCATTACTTAAAGCTCACACATTTGAGTACTTACTTATTTATTGCTTTATATCACTCTGGGCAGAGAGAGTGTTTTACATGACTTTCATTTCTTGAAAATTCATTGAAAGTTGATCTATGGAACAGCATGTGTACAGTTTTGGAAAATGCTCCTTGTTCCCTTTAAAATAATATTTATCCTGACATTGTTGGGCACAGTGTTCTACACATGTCAATTACATCAAGAAGAATCTTTCCTGATAGTTACATCAGTTACTGAGATGTGTTTAAAAATTTATTTATAATTCTGTATTTGCCTATATGTTCTTTAATTTGGTCATGTTTGCTCTTTATATTTTAAGAATATGTCATTAGATGCATATGCATTTAGAATTAGTGTATGGTAATTAATTTTCCTAATGTCTATTTTCTTTTTATATAGCTACACTAACTTGCTGTTGGTTACTATTTCAGTAATATATTTTTCACAAACTTTTACTTTAAAAGTTTCTATAGCCATATGTTTAAAATATAACTTTTATTAGCACCACTTAGTTATAATTTTCTTTGTTCCTTTTATCCTGATGACCTTAGTTTTTAGTTGAAATATTTATTGAATTTACATTTAATGTAATTAATTTTATATTTGTGATTACTTATCATTTGCTTTATACTTGCCTAAAGTACAAGTGTTTCCTGGCTTATAATAGTCTTGGCTTACAATTTTGTTTTTTTACTTTATGTTGCTACAGATGTGACACTTAATATGCTCCTTGATTTATGATTGGGTTACATTCAGATAAACCTATTTTAAGTTGAAAATATTATACATATATATTACTTATATATAAATATTATATATGTATATGTAAGCTATTTAGCATATATATAGTATACGTTTTCTAGTTGTTCTTAGATATTCTGATAGAGCAATCATACATTGAAAATATCTATATCTATATATGTGTGTGTATATATATGTGTATATATATATATATATATATGTATATATATATATAGCATTTATTTACCATAGTACAAGTTTTCTACCTGTTCTTAGAGTGGTTAATTACAAATCATTAGTTCACCATTATCAGGAGGAGAATTCTTCTAATAAATATCTTGTTTTAATTATATATATATTTATTTAGTGAAGCTAATTCCCCACCACTTACTCTTTTGAAATTTATCTAATTTCATGTATTTATTCTCCCATGAGAACTTTAGAATAATTTTGTCAATTTATAAAACAGAGTTTCATTGCACTTATTTATTTATTTGGAAGAGGTGACATTGTTTTACTAGGATTTTATCAGAGTAAAAATACATGACTTGAAAATAATGATAATTTGAGAACACTGTTTTTGATTTTTATAACATGTCTTTTTATCTTTGTCATGACATTTTAAATACAATGGCTAATTTTTTCAATTTTAACATGAAACTGACTAATGAATGGACTCTTTTTAAAAGAAAACAATAGGCATGTATTTTTCTATTTCTCAGTTACTTTTTTTAATTGGAAATTAATGTGGGATTTTATTCATATCCTTCTATTTTTCTTTTTCTTTTAACTAATATTTATTTTTTCTCTCCTAGATGGCAGGCAGTCATATATTGTAGGTATCACAATGAACAAAAGACAGTGAGACAATTTGTAAGCTTTATTGGATCTTATAGTCGATATCAGTCAGGGTCTTAGCAAAAAACAGATGGCATACTCAAAAGTTACTACTACTCCTAGGCCTAAAGAGGCAAAGGGAGGAAATACTTTCTGGAGCATGCAGTGAAAGTTGTATCTGTGTGAAAGTTTTGACCACGGGAGCTATTAACAGATAGACAAATCAGCCCAGACAACTTGCAGCCTATAAGAGAAGGAAACAAAGGAATTAGTACTTCATTCTCTTCTTCCACCCTCAGATATCTTGACAGTATTTTCCTTTGGCCAAATCTAGTTGGAAGCTAGAGGGTAAAGAAGCCCAAGCAGGCCAGATTCATGGAAAATAGTACAACATGGAAATAGATAGAGAATCAATCTATAGCAAAAACTAAAGAATAAGCAGCACATAATATATGGAAACTGGCATTCAAGTAGGTAAGCATTATATAGAGTGATAAGTGCTATGTTAGAGGAAGTTCTGCATGGCATTACGATTTTTAGAAGGGGCATCCCTGATTTGCTACTCTGTAGTAACTCTTGGAAAGGTGTTGTCCACCTGTTCTTCTCTAATCTGATCAATTCATATTCAGTAATTTTAAAAAACATTTTATTATGCAAATTTTTGAATCCACACAAAAGTAAAGAGAACAGTAATTAGTTATGATGTATACATCATGCAGTCAACAACCATCACTATCTTGGAATTTTGAGCCTTCTATCATCCAACTACTCTTTTAATTTTATTTGAGAAGGGTTTATAAAATATTACAGCATTATGTTATTTTACCAGAAAATACTTAAATGCACATCTCTGACAATAATATTTTAAATAGATTTTACATATCACCATGTCATTATCATACTTCATAACATTAACTTATTATCCTAAGAAAATTAAATTCTTTAACACCATCTAATATTATCTATACACAAATATCCCTCAGATCATGCAACTGATTGAGAGAGAAACCAGACCATTTATCCTATAGATCATCCCACATTCTGAATATCACAGATTGGTTCCTCATGACCTCATTTAATATATTCCTCTTTTTCTGGTATTTCCCATAAAATTGTGTGTAGCTATAGAGCCTTAATTGTATTTTGGTCCAATTTTAGGCAAGAATATTTAGTGAGCGGTGGTGTGTACTTTTCATTACATTACCTTGGAGGCACATAATGTCTGATTGTCCTTTTTCCAGTAATGAAAACTGTTATTGTGGGTTCAGATTATGTCAACCTGACCCTTCCATCACCAAATTTCTCACCAACAATTCAACTAAGGTTTTTAGAATTAAGTGATTATTGTTGTCAAGGTACATTATGCCTTTAGGGGATATAAAATGGAGATTTTCTTGTTCTATCATTCCTTTTGAATCCATCAGTTCAACAAAGGACAACTTTCTCTCCTCAGTAATTAGCTTATCTTAAAATGCACTTCATCTGGAAAGGGAAGGTGAATGCTTAAGTTTTCCACTTCATCTGTTTTCAGAAAAATGGGTTGATACCTTAGCAACTTCCCATGGTATCTAATAAGTTTTTATCACTCTCAATTTATTTATTTTTATACATGTGATGTGTTTTTGACCATTGAAGTTATTATGCCATTTTCTGTCCAGTGGGAGTTCACTAAGTTAACATGTACATTAATATTTTACTTAACTTGAAATCGAGATCTCTCTTTGAATTATACTCGCTCCCAAAATCTATCCCTTTGAAAATACTCTATGTTGCTACTAGATTTTGACTGAATGTCACATGAACACACTTGAATGCTCTAACCACTAGCCATATATTGGATAGAGTTCCATATTCATTCTAACTTTTCAAGACATCACCAATTGACTCCAGTTCAGTTGTATGTCAGACATGCCACTTAACTGAAATTTGATTTCTATAGCTTGTCATGCCTACAAATTCGGTTTATACTCATTGTTATGGAATTTGGAGTTCTATATGATTTGTCCTTAAACTTATTTCTCATTACTACTTCACCCTACCTCATTGCTGCCCTATTTGTCTTTTTCAGCTTCTGAAAGGCAGATCCTTATTGAATACTTCCTGCAAGTCTAGGTTTGTGGAAGTTTCTGAGCTAATTTGGGAAAGGGTAAAGGGAGTTGAAATCAAAACAGTAAGAGATGTACTCACATTTTTTTGCTAATTCCTCTAACTCCCTTTGCTATGGCTCTAGGCTCACCAAAAGAATACTGTCGGTTATGGGTCTTTCTAAGTAGATCTTACTTTCAAAAAGAGACTGCTCTCACCAAAGTAATTTATTGCCTATTTCTCTTTCAGTTATGTTTTTTTCATTATAAATAAGTTCCTGGCATTTTCATTACAGGTAGCTTTCCATGCTGTATCTTTTACATAGAGAAAGTCCATAGAAAAAAAAGATGCCTCATCTACAGTGCCTAGTTATTATCATAGTCCTGTTTTTCACTGCAAACTAATTATTTGTATTTCTGATCAGTCTTGTGAGCCAGCACAATGTGAATCTACCCACTCTCTGAGTGCTGATAACTTAGATCACTGAGTCAAAAAGGCTGCAGAGTAGATCTCAGGTGTTGGCATCATGATAATGAATATACCCGTGTGAGATATCAACAGCCTTTCCCCTGGTGGCACAAGTCTTTGTGTTAGCCTTATCCTCATCTATCTTATTTGAACTTCTGCAGGCACAATTTACAAGGCATCACAGATTAGATTATGCTTTGATCCAATTATTTTATTTTATACATGAGAAAACTGAAGCCCTAAGAGGAAAGGACTTTTCTGAGATTACAAAGTCAAGAAAAAGCCACAATTTATTCCAAGTCTACTGATACTCAGTTGAACATTCCTTGCCTGATGGTTCTAGATGGATGAAAAAGCATTTTCTTATTATCATTAGGATTTCATAAATATTCATGGATTATACAATTCTAGTGATGCCTGAGACCTTAGAGACCATTTAATCTATTGTATCTCAACAGGGATCTATGGACTAGAAATATTAGAATGATCCCTGGACATTTTCATTCTATGGAACCGGGATGAGGACAAAAAAACTGTTTTTTATAAAAATGAAAACTTCCCAGGTGATTCTGCACAGTAAGACTTGGAAACCCTTCCTATTTTATAATTCCTTACATTTGCTGATGAATTAACAGGGCTAGGAAGGAGAAGAAATCTTTTCTTTACACGTAATTTCTTGCTTAGGGTCTTGATCATACCACAGTTGACTTTCGAGCAGTTATTTAAAACTCCAGTACTATGTACTGGAAGAGATTGAAGCTGTTCAGTATGGAAGATCTATGTTAGGGATGCAACACCTAGAGTAAATCCTGGAGCAGATTGTGAAGTCAGTCGAGAATGTCATTTGGGCACAAGTGTTTTTTGCTTCTATTGCTGAAATATGCATAACTTATGCTGTGGGACATATTCAAACAGGCAGAAAGCTGTTAGAAGAAAGCAATTAGAAGGAGGCAATCACACACCTTGCCATCACTGAATTTAGAGAAATAATAATTGAAGTTGTCATTAAAGTCAAAGCTGGATGCATTTTGGAAGCGTAATCAGGTTCTGAAGGGCCCCAGTGCAAATTATTCACGTCTTTGGAGGTTGTTCTCAGCTACATGCTACAATTAGGAAAGTAGGTTGTACTTTGATACTTATAGATAGTTCTGGTTCTGTGACATTAACCCATTTTAGAGGCTCATATGCCTATATCAATTGTCTATGCCAATACCTCCTCAGATGTGTATCTGTACATGATTTTTCTTAATGATATTGCACACTTTCACATGTGAGGCACAACCATAAGTCATTTAAAACAGGACTATGAATAGCCAGGCAAATTCATAACCTCTTTTAAAAAGGGAATAGTTAAATGAATTATAGTAGAGTCAGATAAGGGAGTAAGACAACTTGTATAGGTTTAACATAAAAGGTAAATTTACTTAGTGGTATTTGTTCAGAGGCAAGAATTATCATATTCAATTTGTGGAAGATAATGAGAAAGATTGATGGCATATGAGGTAGGCCTTGGAGAATGGGGTGGGTAGAGACTGACAAGAGAGACAGAGGAGAGAGAGAGAGAGAGAGAGAGAAGCAAGAAGGGAGAGAGAAAGAATGAACTAAAGCATTCATTCCAGGCTTCCAGGCTTCCAGGCTCAGAGAACTGTATGAATAATGCTACAGATGAATGACAGTACAAAATAGATCAGGCTAACCCAGAGACTTATCCTGAGCAGATATTATTTGAAAGGACAGTACATCCTCTACGTTTCCTTAAGAAGCTTTCACTCGAAAGCTCCTGTCTTGCCCTTTCATAGATTGGTTGTAAACAGAGAGGTGTAGTTGAACATCACCTGTAGAACAAATAGGGTATTAACAGAAACCTAGAACTCTGACAATGATGCTATAATTGTGTGGAAGGTGGGTCAGTAGTGTTAAGAAAATAGGAGTAAAGGATTTAGAAACAGAAGGGTAAATTTGCAGTCTCTTCATTGTTACTAATTAACCATGTGACCTTGGGTTTTTACTCAATGCCTTTTGCGCATTGCTTTCTTTCTTTATAAAAATAGTATGAAAATGCCTCTACTTTCTAGGTCTGTGGATTGCTGTGAAAGTCAAATAAGATAAATGCAAATTTTGGTGTTATTATTAGAAGTAATAATGGTAAAAAAGATTTTTTATTTATGCTGTGTAAGATATTTTTTCATACTTTTTCAAAATATCAATTCTGTAGTGTCATAAATAATTTTATTAAATGAATCACTGGTACGAAGATCACATTCTGATTCATAAGTCCTGTCTGGATGACTTAGAAATATTTAACTGTTAATATGAGTATGACAATCCAGCAGAATGAATCATTAAGGAGGAAAAAGAACCCATTTTATGCATCAGACAGATTTCAGTAGCTTACGTTGTCTACCCGCAGGAGCTGGACACAATGGTTCTTGCATATTTTGGATTCAAATGCATTTTTATTATTATTGTACCCCTGAAGCTAGGTTTGGAAAGGCAACATTTTTTACTTAAGACAACTTAGGAAAAAAAAAACTATTTCTAAGTTATCACATTGGAAGGGTTGTCATGAGACGATCATGTTATTTTATTTGCCAAATATGAATACATTTCCTCAGTAATGTGCTTTTGAATTTCTGTAGTTGTTGTGGTTTTTAGAGAAAGAAGATACTGTTCTAAATAAAATAAAGAACATGCTCAAATAACCAACTAATAAAGGGATGAAAATAATCAATTAACATTGAGAGGCTTGTTCACTCTCACTGGTAATCAAATAAATGCAATGTAAATAAATCATTGAGTTATTATTTCAAACTATCGAATTTGTAAAATTTAAAAGAAAAATAGCCAGGGAAATTCATAACCTCTTTTAAAAAGGGAATAGTTAAATGAATTATAGTAGAGTGATTCAAGTACATTCTAAAGAATAGATGGCAGTGAGGAAATAATCATTATAAATACATAAAACAATCTGATATACAATTGGTGATCTGCAAGGAAATGTGGGGAAAAGGCAGTAGCATTTACTTCTGAATGGTTGTACAATTTTTAGAGCTTTATAAACTCAGTTTCTGAATTTTCTGCAATGATTATTACTGTTATTATCAATAAAAATGAGAAAACAAAAATACATGTGTATGCACTCATGCATGAATGCACCCTACATCTTCTAGAGTTTCTTGGTACTTAATTACAGTAAAACTATAATCTACCACAAAATGACAGCAGCATGCTTTATTGAGCTGCAGTCATGCATGTGGCCTGTTTATTCTTTTTTTTTATCAACCTATACTTCTTGTTTGGCTTTCTGTACTATAGGTATTTGATATTATAAATATTAATATTATAGATATTTGCAGGTTACATATTTCCAGTTACCTAGCCACAGATATCAGTGGTGGTATGTGCACTAACTACTACACTCATTTGGGACATAAATTTACATAACAGAAAGGCTCTTGTTTTTGTAATTTAAATGCACAGGGTTATTTTATTCTATGGGAGCAAGCAGAATTGAATTTAAACTGGCATTTTTCTCTATAGACCTGGGAGTATATTTTTTTTTTGAGATGGAGTTTGCTCGAATTTTACCTAGGAATGCACTATTTTATTATTTTATAGTGAATAATATCTGTGATAAGCATGCATTACATTACTACTTTCTGAGTCATGAATACTACCAAGTAAATATCTCAAATTTATAAATTTTAATGCAATTTTTATTTCTGAATTGATCTTGTGTTTTTTTGATAGAATATACCTAAAAGGCTTAAAGTGCATATAACTGAGCAGTTTTCTTTTATGTAATGATGCAAAGTATATGAATAGTATGTAATCTGATTCAGCAAAGAGACAAGAGTTTATAGCCAAAAGATTTGTGCTTTGAAGTTTGGAAATAGCTCTTATTATGAATTTTTGATCTTGGGTGGGCTATTAACTATGAGTCCTGGTGTCCTCATCCATAAAATGGTATTAACAGCACCTGCCTTTTTTGCTTTTCAGGTTTAGAGACTTGAAAAATAAATAATAATACATGGAAGTTGTCTAACACCTTCTGTACCCAGCTTGACCACATACTCAGGTTTTTGGTAATTAGCACAATTAAAGTGAACCAAGGGGGAACAAGTTGCTGATTTAATTTGGGGTTACATTGTCTTCACCCTGTGTCATAGGCTAATTTAGTCCATGCATTCCTTAAGTATGCATGTCTATTTAAGAGATTAGCTGAGAGTGGCTGATATTCAATGTCAGTTTATCTCAGCTGTGGGAAAACAATCCCTGTGTGTACCCTATCTGTGCTTGTGAGTCCACAGTGGGATTTTGTGTACAGAACAGCATGTTTATATTTACAAGATTGAAAATGTAGGTGAAGTTCATAAGCATCGGAAATAATTCTTTCTTCGTGAAAGCTGTCCTGCTCTTCTGGCATTCTTCTTTGTAACATTGAGTTTCACATATACTTTCCTTGTTACATTGCAAACTCCATGGGGTCAAAGTGTGTGTTAGTTTTGCATACTACTGAGTCTGTTGTGTCCATTACAGTGCTTGACACACAGCAGATGCTCAGTAATTATAATCGAAATTATCCACATACACACATATAAATATATATATATAAAATATATAAAAACAATTGACTGACAGACTCATTAATTCCCACTACCCACCTCCTAGTTCCTAGCATAGTGTCAGGTACTTATTAGGTGAACAATAGATAGTGACCATGTCTTCTTTATATTATTTAGCCTGAATTTCCAGCAATAAATCCCTGGACAAAGTCTGTTGTTTATAGTACTATACCATAGATACAGGATATGTTTCCAGCAATAAATCCATGAACACAGTATGTATCTTATACAATCAAACCATGTGCCCAAGGTGACTCTTCAGCAGTAAATCAGTGTACACTACCTGAATCTCATAACCTTATCCTGTGGACACAAGCTGAGTCTCCAACAGTAAATCCATGCACAGAGACTGTAACTTCCACAGTCACACCATGGGCCAAGGAAGTATCTCCAGCAGTAATTCCATGGACACAGCCTACACCTTCTGTAATCGTACCTTGGACCCAGGTTGAATGTCCATCAGTAAATACCTGGAGAACATCCATAGCCGATACCATCACACTATGGAAAGGGGCAGAATTAACCTCAGGATATCCATGGATACTGCCTTGGGTTGCTACTGTCACACTATGGGCACAGTCTGAATCTCCAGCAGTAAATCTTTGGACACAGTCCATGTATGACAGAGACACACCATGGCCTCAAGCTGAATCTCCAGCAGTAGTTTACTGGACAGAACCTGTAGCTGATACACACAAACTGTGGACTCAGTTTGAATTTTTAACAGTAAAGTCTTGGATCCAATCCATATCTGATACACTCATACCATAGACCTAGGCTAAGTCTTCAGCACTAAAGCATTTTACACAGGCAATAGCTTATACAATCAAATTGTGGAACCAAGTCAAATCACCTGCCATAAATATCTGGAAAGAATATGAAACCAATATGTTCACACAGTGGACTGAGGTTGAATCTCCAAAAGTAAATGAGGGGACACATCCCACATCTACTACAGTTATGCTACTGAACCAAGTTAAATCTGTAGGAGTAAATCCCTCCGCAAAGCTTGAGACAGAAATTCTCATACTGTGGACCCAGGCTCACACTAAAATCAACAATCCCTGCACATACACTCTACTTGATAGAGTGACATCATTGGCTAAGGATGTTTGTGTAGCAGTACATCCACGGAGGTAGTCTAAAACTGAAATAGTCACATCATAGGCCCAGGATCTGTTGCCAGCAATAAATCCCTTAACAGTGGCTGTACCTGGTAGAGTCACACTGCAGTACATGGCTGTATCTCTAGTAATAATTGCCAGGAGAGAGGATCTAACTGATACAGTCATAATATAGACACAGATAAAATTACCAGTGATCAGTTTCTGGTTACAACCTCTGCCTGGCACAGTCAAACTGTGGACCCAAACAAAATATCCATCAGTATCACTTGGAACCAGGCTGAATTTCCAGCAGGAAATCCCATGATACAATCTAAGCCTCCACTTGTAAAGATATGAACAGAGTCTGAATCTCCAGCCCCAAGTCCTCTGTTACAGGCGGAAACGGATATAGCCATACCATGGACCCAGACTGAATCTTTGGCAGTAAATCCCTGGACAAAGCCTGCTGCTGATACACTCACACTGTGTACACAGCCTGTAACTCCATCATTAATCTTCTTTTTTTTTTTTTTTTTTTTGCGAGACGGAGTCTTGCTCTGTCGCCCAGGCTGGAGTGCAGTGGCATGATCTCGGCTCACTGCAAGCTCTGCCTCCCAGGTTCACGCCATTCTCCTGCCTCAGCCTGCCGAGTAGCTGGGACTACAGGCGCCCGCCACCACACCTGGCTAATTTTTTCTATTTTTAGTAGAGACGGGGTTTCACCGAGTTAGCTAGGATGGTCTCGATCTCCTGACCTCGTGATCCGCCCGCCTTGGCCTCCCAAAGTGCTGGGATTACAGGCATGAGCCACTGTGCCCGGCCCATTAATCTTCTTTTCACAAACTTTTCATGCTACACTGAAAGCATGGTTTCAAACTGAATGTCTACCAGTAAATACCTGGACAGAGGCTGCTGCTTCCAAACTTATACCCTGGATCTAGGCTGAATTTCCAGCAATAAATCCTTGGACAGAGACTTTTGCTCATACAGTAACAATTTTGGCACAGGCTGTATCTTCAACAGTGAAGACCTGGCCACAATCTTCATTTAATACAACCAGATTATGGTCCCAATCTGAATCTGCAGCATTAATTACATAGATACAGCCTGCATCTGACACATGCATAGGACTGATCCAAATTGAATCTTCACTAGTAAATACCTGGATACTGCCTATATCTAATACATTAGCACAGTGGACCCAGCCTGTATCTCTAGCAGTCAATCTGTGAATAGAAGCAATAGCTTCCATAGTCACACCTTGGACTGTTGTGGGAAGTCAGGGACCCCTAACAGAGGGACAGGCTGAAGCCACGGCAGAAAAACATAAATTGTGAAGATTTCATGGACATTTATTAGATCCCCAAATTAATACTTTTATAATTTCTTACACCTGTCTTTACTGCAATCTCTGAACATAAATTGTGAAGATTTCATGGACACTTATCACTTCCCCAGTCAATACCCTTGTGATTTCCTAAGCCTATCTTTACTTTAATCTCTTAATCCCATCATTTTCTTAAACTGAGGAAGATGTATATCGCCTCAGGACCCTGTGATGTTTGTGTTAACTGCACAAATTATTTGTAGAGCATGCGTGTTTGAACAATATGAAATCTGGGCACCTTGAAAAAAGAACAGGAAAACAGCAATTTTCAGGGAAGAAGAGAGATAACCTTAAACTCTGACCACTGGTGAGTCAGGCAGAACAGAGCCATATTTCTCTTCTTTGAAAAGCAAATGGGAGAAATATCGCTGAATTCTTTTTCTCAGCAAGGAACATCCCTGAGAAAGAGAACGTGTACCTGACGATAGGACTCTAAAATGGCCCCTTTCGGTGTGGTCGTCTTCTATGGTCCAGCCGTAGGGAGGAAATAAGCCCCAGACTCCCATAGCGCTCCCAGGCTTATTAGGACAAGGAAATTCTCACCTAATAAATTTTTGGTCAGACTGCTTGTCTGCTCTCAAACACGGTCTCCTGATAAGATGTTATCAATGACATTGCAGGCCCAAAGCTTCATTAGCAATTTTAATATCACCCCAGTCCTGTGGTCCTGTGATCTTGTCCTGCCTCTATTTGCCTTGTGATATTCTATTACATTGTAAAGTATGTGATCTCTGTGACCCACACCATATTCCTACACTCCCTCTCCTTTGAAAATCACTAATAAAAACTTGCTGGTTTTACGGCTCGGGGGGCATCACGGAACCTACCGACATGTGATGTCTCCCCCGGATGCCCAGCTTTAAAATTTCTCTCTTTTGTACTATTTCCCTTTATTTCTCAAACCAGCCAATGCTTAGGGAAAATAGATAAGAACCTACGTGAAATATTGGGGGTGAATTTTGCCTGATATCTGGCTGAATTTCCTCTGATATTGGACCAAAGCTTTGCTTCTAGGAACAAAACACTGGACACATCTTGTATCTGATATACTAGCACTGTGGACCCAGGTCGATTCTTCTGCAGTCATTCCCTCCACAGGCAGTATGTGACACAATTATACTGTGACTGCATGCTGCAGTCTCCAGTAGGAATTACTTGGACACAGACTGTATCTGATCTTTTTATATTGTGGAACCATGATGAATCCTCAGCAGAACATCCAGGGGCATGGACTGTAGTTTCCACAATGTTACCATGTACCCAGTTACCCCTTCAGCAGGAAAAACCTGGACACTACCTGTGTCAGAATCAATTACTCCACGGACCCAGTCTAGGTCTCCAGTAATGAAAACATGGACAGAGGCTGCAGCTTCCACACTCTTGAAGTGGACTCATGATGATTTTCCAGATGCAAATTCTTATACAGAGACTGAAAGGGGCACATGTTGGACAATGCGTAAAACTGAAGCTAAGAAACTCTGGAAAATGCCTGAAGCTAAAATATTTAGAGTTTCATTACCAACTCAACCTCATACTCACGACCTGTGATTCATGAAGAAAATCAAGCACCTATTTTATGGACACATCATGAAATTGAAAATATCAATGAACGGACATTGTCTGAATTTGAAACACTTATATCCTGGATAGTGCCTGTGCTGCAAGCAGCAGAACAATGGCCCCAGCCTGAAGCTCTGCTTAGCAGACTTTCATTTAAAACTGGCACAAAGCCCTAGGTCTTCGGTCAAGTGCACCCTTTCCTTTCCTGGTTCAAGGGAGTGACACAGTCTAGCCATGCTCCCTGGTACAAGCAAGAGCCCATGACTACCTCTGCTTCTGTGTCCCATTAAGTCTCTACCTCTACAAATGCTTTGGTTTTACTTCCACTCCTGCTTTTACTTGACCACACTTCTCTCTGCCACAGCCTCAGAGTAAGGCTCAAAAACTTGGTAGGGGAAGTAATGGAAGAAGAGAATTGAATTAGAAAAAAGAGAAGGAAGCAGAGAAGGAATGCTCTTCCTGAGAAATACATGAGTTTTTTATCTATCAAATCACAGAAATTATTCTTCTTATGGTTTACAAAGGCATTTCACAATTGATCTATGATTAAATTTCCACAGTATCCCTGTATGATATAGATTACTGTATAATATAGGTCATATAACATGATTATTATAGTTATCTTAATTTCTTACTCTTATACTAGTTAAGTAGAATGGATTGATCAAGTTCTTATGGCAGAAGACGAATAGGACTAACATTAAGACACACTCTCCTAACACAAACAAATTTCTTTTCTACCACACAGTATCCTACATGTGTAATAGAATTATTTTAAATTGAGTATATTTTAAGTTAAAGATATTATGATGTTTGGAAGCAGCATAGCAGTTGCTAAATAATGTGTTTTATGTGCTGGTGTACTAGACTGTACTACATTGTGATTATCAGTTTTCTCCTTCCCTTGGCTATCAGAAAACCTATCACAATATTAGCAATGGATATTTCACATTATTGTATATTCATTTATTTCCATAGAAACTGAAGGATCTCTTTTGGTGTCATGTAATAAATGTGCAATTAACCACAGCTATTTTATAGCTAACACACATTGTCATAGCTACAGTGAATAATACATTAAAACACAAAGGAGGTCACAATTATTTGCTCACATCCTACAAAGTCTAATTCAAAGACAACTACACTTAAGATCATAGTTATGCTTCTAATTTCATCTATATTTCCTCACCCCTTCTAGAGAAAGCTTATCTTCATCATTTTTATATCTATACATTTATTAACCAGCATTTCTTCAACTCAGTTTTCTGAGAAATTCTCAAATATTTTTTTAAAATATGAGCTCTTTCCTTAACCCCAAACTTGAATGTTCTATTTAAACTATAATTTTGATATCACACTAAGATTGTATGTTGAGGAAGATAAGCCCCCACCAATTTAGGGACAGGTGCCCTATCTCCAAATTTTTCTTTATTTATCTAATATCTCCAAATCAAATCATTTTTGTTGCCTATCTACTTTGACAACTTTTAAGTAGCTAAAATCATAACTATATAAACGTTGCAATGGGGAGAAAGCTGGAATGACTTCCAACACTTTGACTAAATAAATTTAAGCTAGGACATAAAGAAACTATGAACTTGGAAACATAACAGGAGGATAACATTTTTTTAAAGAAAAACATTTAAAAAATGGAAAAGAGGTAGTAATTTGTGTATGCTAGTCATATTTAACAATGCTGACCTTGTTAGCAGAAATAGGAGGGATCTAAAATTTTTAAAACATGGTCTACATAGGGCAATTATACTCAAATTAATTGTGTGAATTTTCCCCTAGGCTTTGGCAGATCAGATTTATCTGTGATATGCCATGCCTTGGAAGGCTATGATCATCAGCTGTGGCACAGACCTGCAATGGTTCCATACTTAGCAGCTCTTGGGTACTCACAGCTGCCCACTGTGTCAGGAACATGTAAGTTTGTGCCTGCCTCTTCCCATACTCTATAATTCATTATCCCATAATTACGTTGCTGAAAGTTTATCTGTCCAAATACACTTCTGTAATGCATGACCATATCACTTATACAGATACCTTTTTTTTTTAGGCTTAAAAGAAATTGCCTCACTGTGTTTGGCTTATTAGTACCTCTGTTAGTTAATTCCTCTGCAATCCCATTGTCTGTGGACTCTTTATTCATAGATTTCTGATTTCAGTGAAGATGAGCTACGGACCTTGTTTATCATGACTAAAACAATATGCTGGAAAGCCTGATGTAGGTTTAAGGTTCAGGTTTTCTAATGAATGTACTGTAATAAATCTTTGCCTATGAACTCAGGAATCCTGAAGATACTGCTGTGTTACTGGGCCTGAGGCACCCTGGGGCACCACTGAGAGTTGTGAAGGCGTCTATCACTCTACTGCATGAGAGGTTCCAGTTGGTGAGTGGGGCAGCAAGAAATGACCTGGCATTGCACTCCTCCAAGATGTCCAGACCCGCTTTCAGCTCTTATCACTCTTGGGCTATCTGAAGAACCTGAATAGCTCAGAATGCTGGCTCTCTGGGCCACAAATCATTATACCAGGTCATTGGATAATTTTCTTATTAGGATAGTAGTTCTAAAAAAATGAGGTTCATATTTTTAATATTACAGTTCAAGGCATAAGTATAATCACATTTGCATATATTATTAATTATAAGATATTTAATCCACATCATAGACCCACTAGGAGGTTTGTTTTTGGTTTATAAGATGATGGTTCTGATGATAACTTCACAGGATTTTAGATGTAACAAAAGTTATATGAGGAACTTTCTCTGTACAGTCTAGTTTTGTAAAGCAAAGTAGAGACGATTTCCTTCCCAACTCTTTGCTCACTTTGGAACAAAGGAAAAGGAAGTGTTTTGTATTGTTTTGTTTCATTTTTACCTCTTTATGAAAATCTACTCGAAGTTGACTTGGAATTTTGAATTTCAAATGTGAAAATTGACTTGTTAATTTTGCAAAATGGAATTTAAAAAATTATTAAAAAGTGACAAGGCTGTCTCCATTGACTCACCACTGTAATTTCAGCAATTTGGGAACTTAAACTAAGAGGACACTGAGTCCAGGAATTTGAGACCAGCTTGGGCAATATAGCAGGACTTCATCATTAAGCACGTAAACAAAAACATAGCCTGGTTGGTGTTGCACACATGTAGTCCTAGCTATGTGGGAGGCTGAGGCAGGATGATAGCTTGAGTCCAGGAGGTCAAGGCTGCAGTGAGTGAAGATTGTGCCAATGCATTCCAGCCTGGGTGACCAACCAAGAACTTGTCTCAAACAAACAAACAAAAAAAGGCTAGACATGTTGGCTCATGCTTGTAATCCCAGCATTTTGAGAGGCTGAGGCAGTGGATCACCTGAGGTCAGGAGTTCAAGACCAGTCTGACCATCATGGGGAAACACCATCTCTATTAAAAATACAAAATTAGCCAGGAGTGGTGGTGTATCCCTGTAATCCCAGCTATTCAAGAGGCTGAGGCAGGAGAACTGCTTGAACCCTGGAGGCAGAGTTTGCAGTGAGCTGAGATCAGGCCACTGTACTCCAGTCTGGGTGACAGAACGAAAATCCACCATAAAAAAGAAAAGAAAAGTGCTAAAAAGATAATGAAATAGAAAAAATGTGTGATGTAAAATATTAATGGTGATAAAATGAACTGAATTTCTGTATAAAATTTATAGACACAAGTTTAAAGTGATGACGAGATGTAAGTGATAAGACAAATCATAGTTTTATCTTAACACTTAGGGTTTAAATTTAACATATTTTCTTAAGGATAGTTATAGTCCATTTGTCTTTCTAGGACGAACCGATGACAATCCAGAAATATTAGAAGCATGTGATGGAAGCTTCCAGCTATGCCCACCTGTACCCTGACATAGACAGTTCCATTGTTTGCTTCATTACTCAGGTCAAAGACTCTGATGCAAATGTGGTACACCGTCAATTTTTTTTTCTTACTAGTGATAGGAACCATAACTTTGTCCCTATACAAAAGAGTATACTGCATATGCCTAAATGATAAATATAAGTGAATCATTGATCAGTAGGAAACCATTTTAAAACTCTTTAATTACAGAACAAAGTCTCTGAAAAAATTTTATTGTTAATCTCTGAGTTTTCTTACATGGGTTTTCAATCTCTAGCCACACTATATAGCTAGTATGCTGCTCTACACATAAATTAGACATTCTATATTATTCTCTTATTCTAATAATAGTATCTTCACACATCAGAGTTTAAAACAAGTCTCATTTTTTCTATTTCTCCAGTTAAAATAACTTTTTAAGATTTAATTTTCAGTGATTTTTTTGTAGTAATACTTTTGAAAGTGTTTGATCAGGATGGTTTATTATGCATTTATCTGATGTCTCCCTTCCTTCTGAATACATCTTTTATTATCCACTTATTAAATCTATGATTAATAATTTGGAATAGGGATTTAAATCCAAATGCTATGTTTGAATTTACAGGAGTCAGTGAGCCTAGGAAGTGCCATTATGTGCAGACCAGTATCTGGCAATGGCAGTTGGAGACAAATAGCCTTCACCAGTCTCAAAGCCCTAGCTACTACAGTGAGTCCACATTTTGCCTGGACTTATCTATTCAGCAAAAGAAGGCCACCCAATAAATCAGGCCCTTGCGCCTTGGGTAGAAACTCCGAAGTCCTCTAGTCTCCTTAAACAGCCAACCACACTGCCATTTTCCTCAATAATAATTACTGCAGCCCAAGGACTTTGGTAGCCTAGTGACTATAACCAGTGGTGCCACAGTCTGGTCACAGTATGACAAAACACCAGAGTATCAACGAGGAAAATCTTGACTTAGCCTTCCAAAATCTATCTCAATATACCTTCAATAAAGATGGCTTTTCTTCATAACAACTGCTTTCTACCTACTTCCTGAACTAATGCATGGCCTTGGATTGTTTTTATTCTTGAAAATGATTCAAAAGTTCATATTTAATATGAACATGAATGCAGGATTTTATTCATCAGCATAAGAATTTTCAAAATGATGTGAAATCCAAATGTGGAATTATATTTGTGAACTTTGTCTTTCAAATTATATTTTCATACCAACTAACTCACACAGTTTTATGTAACTATCTGAATATTCTCCTCAGGTGGGGGAAAACCAGTGTCAGAGTTCTTGAAGAATTTATGAAATAGAAAATGACAATAGTACATAAGGTTTTACCTATTCACAATACTGTATTTAGTGAATGAAAACATTACTTTTAAAATCCTACTTAAGTACTGAGTAAATAAATAAAGCATATTATTCCAATAACTCTAAAGTATGTGTTCATGAAGAAAATACAGCAAGGGTTAAAATGCATAAACAAACAAATGAGGCCAGGCATGATGGCTTGTGCCTGTAAGCCCAGCATTTTGAGAGGCCAAGGCAGGCAGATAACTTGAGGTCAGGAGTTTGAGACCAGCATGGCAAACATGGTCAAACCCCATCTGGAGTAAAAATGCAAAAATCAGCTGGACATGGTGGCATGTTCCTGTAATCACACTTCCTCGGGAAGGCTGAGGCAGGGGAATAACTTGAAGCTGGGAGGCAGGGGAATCACTTGAAGCTGGAAGGCAGAGGTTGAGGTCAGCCAAGATCATGCCACTTCACTCTAGCCTGGGTAACAGAGAGAGATGCTGTCTCAATACACACACACACACACACACACACACACACACACAATGGAAAAAAAAACTGTACTAGAAAAAGAGCTCACAGGCAAACTCACATATCTAACAGAAAAAAAAAGTGTTCTTTAAACAAAAGTTCCACAAGAGGCAAATTAAAAAAACAAATGTATCACTTTGCATATAAAGTACAAATAATAAATTAAAGAGAACCACAAGGGGAAAAAATAAAAATTTACAAGTAAGTACTCTAAAAGAAGTTGAACGTCACTCAAAATTTTTCTGGATTCTATGTCTCTATATTGCAAAAATGATCATAAAATTTGCAGGAGCAGAACAATCAAAATGTATCTTAAAACTCAACAATGAGCTAGCTATCCCTTGAGCCTTGCTTCTCACCCACTGACCTTAGACACTTATGCCTATTAGGTGACTTAAGATTCCCTAATCCTGAAACATGAGTGTTACAGTTCCCTGAAGGCTCTTTCTCCTTCAGCCCATGGATGGCCTAGGATTGCTCACTGCACTCTCTTCCCTGAGGCTTGTGTTCTCCATGTGGGGCACAGCTCCAATAATCAAAAGCCCCTCAGTCCCAAGCCCAAGACTGCCTAACCTGGCCTCCTCTCTGTTCCCTCTCTAACTGCCTCCCTCCCTCAGGAAGTACTGCAGGGGATTGAGCCACAGGCCCTGGCTGATGATTGGGGGACTGCAGAAGTGGGTACAGGACAGGTTAGGTCATGGCTCAAAGCCAATTCCCCAGAGGCCAAGGAATGACCAGCAAGGTTTTTTTCCCATGATGCCCTACCGTGGTGCCCACCTCAGCAATCCTGCCGGGACCTGGGTAGCCATGGTCAGCCAACTAGCTGAAGAAGGTCACATGGAGGTGCACTGCCTGAAGCTGGAGGCTTAACCTTCATGATCCCACAACCACTGGACTGCAGTGGAATGAGACACCCAGTTTCTTGGAGGGATGGGAAACAGGAAGTTTCAGGCCAGACCTACCCTCCCACACACAACTTCCACTACCATGCTGGGAGTCACTCCTGACCGAGGATGCCAACACAGTACTCCTGAATGACCACTTCATTGTGGAAGTAAAGATTGTGACAAAAGGAAAACTTCATCCTGATGCCGGTACCCGGGGTGGCTGAGTTCCTCCACCTCCCTGGCCAAGAGGGAGAAAGAAGATGGACTCAAAGGACCATTTCATGTACCTGGACTAAGGTGGCCTGCTACATGTGTTTTCCTTTCCCAGCTCTCCCTCTTAGATACCCCTGGGCCCCATGGGGACTTCAACCAGACCCAGATGCCTGACCCCTCCCGCTGATCCAGGCTCCGCAGCATAACCTGCAAATCCATCATGTAGCTCAGCAGGACTTCATCATTTATGATCTCAGCCCATATCTGGGTGTGCCCCACAATCTGCTTCTGGTCTAGGAGCCAACGGATGATTTGGGTGGGGGACATGATGTGAAACAACCTGCAACTTTGCAAGAGTATGGAGAGTATGGACAAGGCTGTCACCCAGGCCTTTGACCTGGCACCACACCTTGGTGTGGTGGTCTTGGCAGAGGGTCAAGCCAGGCCCAGACAGCCTGCTGTGAAAAGGGGCAGGCACAGAAGAAGTGGGGAGAGGTTTAGGGGGTGGGGTGCTCTGGTGTGAGGCGGCTGCTTCCTCAGGGTTCCTGAGCTGCAGGAGGCCCTTATGTGCTGGGTGCTGGACAGGCTCTGCTGCTGTCCGAGTGTGCAGTGTCCTCTTCTAGTCTCCCTGAGGGGTGGATGTGTCCACCCGAGGGAATCTCTGTGGGTTGATGGGGCTGCAAGGCTGTGCCTGGCTCTCCCCATGGGGCTCACACAGGTGCAACAGAGGCTATATATGCTCAGGGCCTACACCTCTTTGGATGCAGCACCAGCAGAGGGAAGAAAGTTTGTCCATGGAGCTGGTGCCTGCCTTGCAGAGGACAGCAGCCCAGTGCACATTGAACCTGAATCTTGAGCACCTTGTGTTTCTGGGGTAAGCCTGCTGGACACAGGTATGGGGAGCAGGGGTATTTCCATGGCTGGCATGGGCACACAGACTCCCCTTCCTCCAAGGACTCTCCCAGGGAAATGTGCCCTTCAACTTTCTGCTGTGCGTAAAGGGTCCTTTTGCGTTGCTCTTCTCTCTTGTGAGTGCTGTGATTTGCTTCCTGTTCCTATTCTACTTGCCCTCAGGGCACTCGCAAGCAAACTGCCCTCCTATCTGCAGAAGTCTGGCCCCTGCTCCCCTCATTGTCCTCCATCCCCTGACTCCTGGATGACCCCCTGTGCCTACCACCTGGCTCCTCCCAACCCCACTCCCAGGACCTAGATGCCCACCCCCTGCTGCCAGGCATCCCAAATTGGCAGCTGCAAAGACATGGCTCTGGCCCAGGAGCCGGGGATGCCCTGTGGTTTGAGGCATTTACAGAGCCCAGCTGCAAATGATGGACCTCCAGCGAGTCCGTTGCGGGCCGGGGCCTCCTGGGGCCAGGGACAGGTTCTGCCCAGTGGTCCTCCTGCTGCTGCTCCACGTCGGCCTCCTCCTTGGCCACCACTTCCACCTCTGCCGTGATGTCATCCACCAGTAGCACACCTCTTCCCCCCAGGCTGCCCTCTCCGGCAGAGCCTCCAGACTTAACACGGTGCCCTCCTAGGGCTCCCACAGACCAAGGTCTGAGCTGCTCACCCCCCGCCCCTGGCACCCCTAGACTCTGGGGGCCGCTCCCCGAGAGGCCCCGGGGCCTCGCCTAGCTGAGAATCACGGTCTCACACCTGCGTGGACCCAGGATTACTGGGAAGCCCTGCAGGATCCATAGCCTTCCGCACTCGTCATGAGGCCCAGATTCCCTGCAGGGTTAGCTGCACACAGGAGCCCAGGAGCCGTAGGCAGAGGCCCTGGGCTTCCAGAGCCCCTCTGGCAGGCACCGCGGCCAATGGGTGCTGAGCTTATGGGAGCCTCTGCGCCAGCAAGTCAGTGAACACAGGTCATCGGATGGGCAACCACGGCAGCTTGTCTCTGGTGTGCCCAGGGCATAGGACAAGAGAGCCTTTGGAATACCCCTGGGAGTAAAGCATCTCAGGGAGGAAGCATGGAACTTGGAGTCTGTATTTCCCTAGATCTGAAAAAGTCCTTGCGGGGTTTTGACTTCTGGTGCAGGCGAATTCCACCCCAGCAAGGTACCAGATGACTTTCCTCCCACGTGCCCGCCCTGCCCCACTCTCCGAAAGCCACCGCCGCTGCCCTTTCCCCAGCAGGCAGCGCTGGTCCCTCTCTCTGCCCTCTGGATCTGCAATATTCAGTACCATCAGCCTAGCCTGCCTAATGAAGTGAGATGTTTCATGTGTTCTCTGTGGGTCAATGGCTTGCCACACTCAGAATACCAGTTAGGGTGTAGGTCGTCCATGCCCACAATTCCAAAGGGAGCACAGTCCATGTGTACCTGAACCCACCACCACCTAGCACAAGCATCTTCTCAGAGGAGGCTTACTGCGGAAGGATGGAGCTGCAGGCCAGCGTTGGGCAGGGCGCCTCGGGAGACGCCTACAGCCCTTGCAATAATTGGCCGACGCCCACCGCCCTCACAATGATTGGCCCTGGAGGTAGGGGAGATTTCCAGGCATGGCTTCTGGCTTCCTTCCAGCTCAGGCCAGTTCCGAGGATCTTTCCGGCAGTTGGCCCTGTGGTGTCCCGAAGCCGGATGCATACGACCTGAGGCCCGGGCGACCCTGAGGCTGTTTGTCCTACTGAAAAGCACCTGTAATTTCTGTTTCTCTGCACAGGTTGGTCTTTTGGCAAGAATAGAAAGCAAAGGTTTGGGATTGTAGGGGGTGGGTTTTCTATGTGTGGGCGTTGAATTATGCAAGGAGACAGTGGGGAGAGAATTCCTTAGTGCTATTAAGAAACTCATTTTTGTTAAACTCTGATTTTTCTTGAGGATTCTGCCTTTAACCGTCGGACATGTCTGACATGTGGGCAAGTCGTGGGAGATGGTGCTGCGGTGCCATTATTTTCATGTGCACTTTTTATTAAAGCAGTTTTTCTCTGTGAATGTGGTCATAATTCAAAATATATGCAATATACTTAACCACCGCGATTAAATACCTGTACTTTTAGTCAGCACATGTCACGTATGTGATTTGCTTGGTGAGAATTATCAAATTTTGGCATACTTTAGTGTATGTAGCCGTCTGGGGCTATACATTACCTCAGTTCAAATTTGCCTCTGTAAAGCCTGTAATTGTCTCTTTCCTTGTATGACAGTATTTGAAACATGTTTCCTGTATCTGTGGCCCCTAAGTAATTTAAACCGAGTAACTGGGTGTAATCAAGTTAAATGGAGTCGGATAGACTTAAATGAAAACAAAATAAATCCGCTCAAGTTATTCTATTACCCTGGCACACGGACTTACTCTTGTAATCCTAGCATTTTGGGAAGTGGAAGTAGGAGGATGGCTTGAGGTCAGGAGTTGGAGATCAGCCTCGATAACATATGGGCTCCTTTAATCGATTGCCATTTTTGCACCAGGGACCGGTTTAGTGGAAGATAATTTTTCCTCAGACAAGTGTTGCCCAGGGGAAGAAGGCAGTGAGATGGACACGTTTAGGGGTGGGGGCTGCTGGCAGGGCCCCGAGGGCCACGTGGTGGGGTGGGGCTTCTGGTGGCAGCAGTGTGACAGGGGACAGGTGGGGCAGCAGGGCTGCCATAGGGACAGGGTGGGGCAGCGGGATTCCGGGGGAAGGCTGGGGAGGATGGTTTCTTGATGAAACTGTGCCACCTCAGGTCATCCTCAGGCATTACACTCCCCACAGACAGGTATTACAGGTTATCCCCAGGCATTACATTCAGGCCACCGACAGGTATACTGT
The DNA here is from genome assembly GCF_000001405.40 of Homo sapiens. Lineage (NCBI taxonomy): Eukaryota > Metazoa > Chordata > Mammalia > Primates > Hominidae > Homo > Homo sapiens. The sequence continues at coordinate 8,905,441 of NC_000024.10, forward strand.
GAAGGCCAGTGTTTGGGGATCCTTGATCTATTATATATTTCAAATCACTAAAAAGATGGTAAAATATTTAAAATGATCTCCCCCTAGAATATTTTAATTAGCTCGATTTAATCTTCCATCCAAATATCAAGCTAGGCGTGGTGGTTCACACTTGAAATCCCATCACTTTGGTAGTCCCAGGCTGGCGGAGTGCTTGAGCCCAGGATTTGGAGACCAGCTTGGGCAATATAAGGAAAACCGTGTCTATTTAAAAAAACACAGAAAAATTGCCCAGCCAGCTACTTGGGAAGCTGAAACGTGGGAGGATCATTTGAGGCTGGCTGGAGGAGGCTGCAGTAAGCAGTGCACTTTGGCAACAGGAGATATACATCTCAAGCAAAAAAAAAAAAAAAATACACAAAACATCACACTGTACCTCATAAATATATAGTTTGCAAATAAAATTATTTAACTGGGGACATCCTTCATATTGCAATTTAGGAAAATTACAATAGCTTTTCTTATCTAATTTTTAGAAATGAGATTTTGCCACCTACGTAATAAAATGCAGCATTTCTCCATGAAGTCAGTGCCCCTTTTGCTCTGTAAGTTACAAATTTTAAATATTTAAAGTAAGAAATACTAACAAAATGTTAGCCTCTGGAAGGGAATTTTACTTGAATTTTCAACACAGTATATAATAAAATTTTATCTTTTTAGCTTATTTTTATCAAAATAGAGTATTTTATTTTATTTTATTTATGTTATGTTATGTTATGTTATTTATTTTCCATTTACAGAACAATGGTAGAAGCAGATTGTCCTGGGAAGCTTTCATTGGTGGCCTCAATAGAGAAGCCAGTGAAAAAGATGCTGAAAGAAGTGTTTGCGAAACATGGTCCCCTTTTGGAAGGTAACTTTGTTTTGTTTTGTTTTGTTTTTGAGACGGAGTCTTGCTCTGTCGCCCAGGCTGGAGAGCAGCGGTGGGATCTCGGCTCACTGCAAGCTCCGCCTCCCTGATTCCAGACATTCTCCTGCCTCAGCCTCCAGAGTAGCTGGGACTACAGGCGTCCGCCACCACACCCGGCTGATTTTTTTGTATTTTTTAGTAGAGACGGGGTTTCACCGTGTTAGCCAGGATGGCCTCGATCTCCTGACTTCGTGATCCGCCCGCCTAGGCCTCCCAGAGTGGTGGAATTACAGGTGTGAGCCACGGCACCCGGCCTCAGAAGGTAACTCTTAAAGCCATGTGTATTTGTGTGTGTGTGTGTGTGTGTGTGTGTGTGTGTGTATTTTCATATGTATATTTCAATATGTATATTTAAAATATGTATTTTTGCAAAGTTCATTGTATACATACGTTAAAATGCCTAATCATTTGTAAACTCTTATTTTGAAATAACTATTTGATATTTGAAAAATTCTCATAGCAACAGGTGAAGGGCCTGTGGTAAGGATCACTTACTACTTAGAAAGGAAAATGACGAAAATTAAATGTGTTGTGGAGTAAGGAAACAAACTGGAATAAAATAGGCTGACTATAGGGATGACTTAGTATTAATAATTATAGTAGTGACGTGAAATGCAGTTTGTTTTTGGTTTGATGTAACTTTCAGATGGTTAGTACTTCAGTGAGTCCATTATATAATTGTAAAATGTTTTTATATATTTTAGTTCTTCTGATAAAGGGTTGAACCAGCAAGTCCAGAGACTTTGCGTTCGTTATTTTTGAGAATGCTGCAGATGCTAAGAATGCTGCCAAAGATATGAATGGAAAGGTAAGAGTCCCTTATTAATAATACTATAACTCTGGCTTTCAATTAACAGTATTTCTAGGTTTTTTTAGAATTACTAAAGTGTTAAAGATAGTAGAATGCCATATGGACCAAAATTCTTTAGCCATTCTCTTCTTTGTGCCATATACCTGAAAGTGTAGTTGGAAGGGTACTGCAATTAACATTATATAAATTAATATATGGTAACTTTTTTCTATTTTTGTATTTCAATATTAGTGTAAATAGATTTTCAAAGGTTTCCAAGAGCATTAAAACCCAGAAGGAATCCCCCTGTAAGTGAAAGGACTAAGTGAGCATTCATTAAATGCTCTCAATGGACTTATTTCCAATTCATGGAAATACTTCTATAGTACATAAAAACTGTGGATAGATATCTAGACAGACTCACAAGAAGGAAAGATTCTCTCCCATTTTCTGAAAATATACTTTTGAGAAAGTATATTTAAATAAGAACTTTACAGTTAAGGAAGTGTTAAGTACTTGAAAATAGAAAATAATATCAGAACATCGAAGTTGGATAACAGAAGAAGGAACTGGAATTTTTACCCCATCCTTGCTCTTTTCTCCTAAGGACCTTTTTTTCCTCTCACCAGAGTAGTTTATGTAACATGAATATCTAACTGCTCATTTTCCCAGTGTGTTTGAGGACATGTTTTGATCAAAACAATCGTCTCTTGTCCTATTGAGTCTTAAATCTAGGGAATGTGTGTTTACTAAAGCTTTAAAATTTTATGTAATTCTACTAAGTATTGAATTCCTTTACATTCTAGTCAAGATAATTCCATTCTGGGCCCTTTAGAGCTTTTTTGCTTTATAACGTTATCCCAATCTGTTATCTCCTGTTGCTCTTTATGCTACCCCTAAAATGCTTTTCTGAACTCTTGAAAACTATTCTTTCATATGTATGTCTCAAAAATAACAATTCATCCTTCAAAAACAACTTTGATTTCATATTTTCTTCCACATTGCATATCATAGATATTCTGTACTCACTGTACCACATATTAGTCTATAGATTGTTAAATTGTCTACAGGGCATATTTAAGGCTTCCTAGTTGCTTTTATTTCTGTTACATCTAGTACACTTGGTGGCACATAGCAGAAAGTACATTTTTATTCACTCTTATAAATTAATATTTTAAGCTGTGGTAGAAACCCAGAGTAGCTTTTGATTCATGGCTTTGTGGTAGTTATGGAGATAATTTTTACTTATTTATAGTCATCTATGATCATTTCTTTTTCCCCCCTAGTTTTCAAGCACAAGAGCAGGTAATTTGCGCAGATTTTTTGCTTTTTTTTTTTTTTTTTTTTTTTTAAGGTGGTGTCTTGCAGTGTTGCCAGGCTGGATTGCAGTGGGACGATCTCAGTTGACTGCCACCTCCTCCTCCCAGGTTCAAGCAATTCTCCACCTCAGCCTCCTGAGTAGCAGGGACTACAGGCACATGCCACCACACCCAGATAAATTTTGCAGTTATGGTAGAGACTGGCTTTCACCCTGTTGGCCAGGATGATCTCTATCCCTTTACCTCATGATCTGCCTGACTAGGCCTCCCAAATCATCGGGATTACAGGTGTGAGCCTCCGTGCCCAGCCAATGGTTATTTTTGAATTACTTCATCTCACATATTTTATTGTGTAAGCATAAATATGAATGTTATATGCACATAAATGTTAAGATAGCCAACAAAGGAGATTCTTAGAGTTTTCAGGGGCAATTAAAAGTTTAAGGAATTTTGACTGACTTTGGAACACTGGGAAGGAAGCAGCCATGCACAAATCTGGGGAAAATATTTTGGGCCCAGAAATAACAAAAGAAGTTTCAAGGTAGGAACAACTGGTGATGTGGCTGCAAGGGGTCTTGTAAGGGATTTAAGATCTTCCCCCAAATAACAAAAACCATGTAATTTTAAAAGAGTTATTTATTATCTGAACTGTTTTCAAAAATTACTTTGTCCTATAGAAAAGATTATACTGAAAAATGTTATTGTGAAATTAATTAGCACATTTAAGCATTTCTGAGAAACAACATGAAGTACTATATTAAGAGTCATTTTTTAGGGGCACGTCTAAGGCAAAATAAGAAATGAATAAGGCAAGAAAACTTAATGAGATCAAACAAGGATCACATTTACAGAAACGTTTCTAGAGTAAACACAGAATTATAAATCATATGGGGACATTTTATGTAAGTGTTAGCAGATCAAACAAGAAAGAACTCACAATAACTAATTTGACTAATCACTTTGAATAAGTAACCTCATTTTTTTAAATGACACAAGTTTCGTTGGGACACTGAAACTTTAAAATCAGTGATGTGAATACAAAGATGAAGTGGATTATATATTGTAAAAAAAAGATGTGCCACATTCTTCCATAGAATGTGTGATGGGTTAATCGTTTTGTTTGAGGTGTTATTTTTTTAATAATGAAGGAGTTTTCAAGGAATTTGAATAATAGAATTTGTGTTTGATCCCTTAATGGAAGGCATGTGTTCAGTAAATGTCTCATATTTGGTATTGTGAAAGACATGTTCATTTTAGGAGGAAAAAAAAGTTTGCTTTGGGAGAAAATATCTAGAATCAAACTATAGTTGATGTAAAAATGTTTGTAAAATGTGGTTAGGTTTATTCTTGCCAATGTTATTGATAGTACCCTTAATAATTTTAGTCTTCAGATGGAAAAGAAATAAAAGTAGAACAAGCAAAGAAATCATCTTTTCAAAGTGGTGGTAGGCGGAGACCACCAGCTTCTTCGAGAAACAGAAGCCCTTCAGGAAGTCTGAGATCTGCAAGAGGAAGTAGTGGAGGAACAGGAGGGTGGCTTCCCTCACATGAAGGACACTTGGGTAATGTTTTAAAATATAAAGATGGAACTATAGGACTGGAAGAAAATAAGTTTGAAGATATCAAAATTTCCCAATTTTATTTATTTCCTTTATGAACAGAAAATTAACATATTAATAAGAAGCAAAATTATTTCTAAGTACTAAAGTTGTATTATAAGAATTGTTGCTCTAATATCTAAAATTTGTTTTAAAATTATTATAACTTTGCATTGAAATAGCACAGATTTCAAACTGAATTGAGTTTATTAACGCTGATTGCCTGTACTCAACAGGTGTTCTGAAGAACTCGTTTGTATTCATTATACTTCATAGAGTTTTCTACTTTGGGGCGCAGAACTTCGTATCAGTTGTATTATCAAAATACAATGGAATATTTAACACTTTCCAACAGGAAAAAAAGTAATTCAGTACTTAGGATTGATTTTCCAATATTAGTTTTTTTTGTGTATACATGTGCAAACATGTATGCAAATCCATTGCTTTGTAACTTTCATACAGACAGTTTGTACATTGGCCTGCCATAAAGCATTTTCAATTTAAGAAATGTAGAATTTTAATTTCTAAAAAGAGTCTGTGACTCTGGAAAGGACATAAAAACACTGCTTCACAGATATGTATGTATTTTTCTTGCTGGAAGGTGAGTCACTGAAAATGGTATTTATGAGTGATTTACACAATAGAAGTGAGGGGTCAATTTCCACATAAAAAAGAAAAACAAACCATGTATATGGGGGTGGGCAAGGTGGCTCATGCCTGTCATCTCAGCACTTGGGGAGTACGGGGCAGCTGGACCACAAGGTCAGGAGATCCATACCAGCCTGGCCAACATGGTGAAACCCTGTCTCTCCTAAAAATACAAAAAAATTAGCCTGGTGTGGTGGCACGTACCTTTAATCTTAGCTACTCAGGAGGCTAAGGCAGGAGAATCACTGGAACCTGGGAGGCAGAAGCTGCAGGTAGCTGACATAATGCCATTGCCCTCCAGCCTGGGCAGTAGGGCAAGAGTCCATCTCAATCAATCAATCAATAAGCCTATGAATTAACTTGTATTATCTGTTAACCAACCTTCAAAAATCTGTCATTTAATTTTGTGTTTTAATGACCAGATGTGTAATTAATTGGAGTTGTTTTTTAAATTTGAAATTGCAGTGGTTGCTCCATTTTAAGATGTATAGCTTCATGGTTATTTTGTTTCCATTCATCTTGAGGGAGAGGTTCAATAATACTATGCCATGTATGAGAATGTGCATATTCTAACCTATAACACCACCTACCAATTGCCATATGTCTACAGTTTTTGTACATATATATATAACTATTTTTTCTATTACTTAATAAGCTATTCTTAAAGATTATTAAAATTTAACATAATCTAATCTGAAAATTAGTGTTTCATAAAGGAATTGTAAGAATTCTATACTATGTTAATGAATTTTAAAGATAATGTATTTTCTTGATGTGTCACCTTTTGATATTGTAAATATTTGAGTTTCTTTGAATGGAATTTAGTTTATGATATGCTATGAAAAATTTTCCTCATAACAGAATGATATAAACAATCAATTATCATTTTTCTTTAATATTTTTATGTATGTTATACTTAGATATTTTACTGATTGATATTTGCTCCCTGTTCACTCCCCACTTTTCCTACATCTCTCTCTCACACCAATATATTATGATTCTTGAGTTTCTTTCTAGATTTTCTAAAAAGACTTTTATTGCTTGAATTGTACTAATTTCATGTAGAAATGTTAATTTTATTAGTTTAGACAAATGTGAATTTGTAAGATTATAATATATAGAAAATCTTTATAAACAACTAAAACTTAGTCATTCAAGAAAGTCATGCTAGTTAACTAAAATGATTTTGTTCAAAATACAGATGATGATGGATACACTCTTGATCTCAACATGAGTTCTTCTAGGGGAGCCATTCCAGTTAAAAGAGGTCCATCTTCACGAAGTGGAGGTCTTCCTCCTAAAAAATCTGCTCCTTCTGCTATGGCAAGAAGCAATAGTTGGATGGGAGGCCAAGGTAAATGCTACCTGATAGAAAGACCATACTTTGTGTATGACTAAAAATGAGCTATTTTAACTGGATTCTTAAATTTAAGTTCATAGATTAAAAGATAAGCGACACATCATTGGGCATAATTACTGATCGATACCTTTTATTATAGTTTCTATCTCACTAGGTACACTCAGATTTATGTTGAAGAAATACACTTCTTCATTTCTCATTGCAGATGAAAGAAGTGATTAGAGTGAGGCCAACATTCCTTTTAATCCTGTGTTTGCAAGATAATTCCCCTTAATATTTCTATAAGTTCTTAGAAGTATTCTTTGATGGTAGGCTTCTTCATCTAAAGAATTCTTCCATTTCCTAGGTCCCCTGGTAGTGGTGCCCTGGTGTCCCAATTGAAAATTTGCTTGTTGAGTTTCTTTGTTGGGTTGGAGTCTGGCTCTTACCAGGTCAGAGTGCCTTGGTGAAATGATGGCTTACTACCGCCTCAAATTCCTGGGCTCAAGCAATTCTCCTGTTTCAGCCTCCTGAGTTGCTGCAATTACAGGCATGCATCACCACACCTAGCTAAATTTTTTTCCTGTATTTTTGTAGACAGGATGTCACTACATTGTCAAAACTGACATTAAAGCCCAGGGCTCAAACAGTCCAGCTTCCTCAGCCTTCCACACTGGCTCACAGTGTGAGCTGCTGCGCCTGGCCATCCAGCTTCTGAGACCTCAATAATGTTTATGTGCAAGGCATTCTTACTGCTTATATGAAGATTCAAAAGAACTGCAAGAGCATTTAGCAGAAAAGGAGTCACTGGGCTTAAATATTATTTAAAAAATAAAATTAAGTCTTGAAAGGTAGACAGGAAGGAGTACAATATTCTTAAATTAAGTGGATATGACAGAAGTGCAGAGTTATGAAATATGAGGGCATGTAAATCAATAATTAAGGTTGTACTGGGATGTTTAAACATTAACACAAGATCCTTAGTGTAAGATTGGAAATTATTTGAGGAGAGAATTTAGAACTAAGCAACCTGAGGTGAGCAGTAGGATTGAACAGAAGTAATATTTTTGAAAAAGAGAATCATAAGATTGCAGACCAAACAGAAGAAAGCAAGACAATAAATAAGAGTTCTTAGCAAATAAGTTTAAGTACAACAAATTAAAATTCTTACTTAGTCCTCCACCCTAATATGGAGGAAATTGAAAACTGCCATTTTCTATTTTACATTTCATATGTAGAGTATCGGTGAAATTAGGTATTTATTGACTTCAGGATACACAAGCCAACACATTTTCATTGGAAAATTAGCCATTGAACATATCATAGGTGAAAGACTGACCTCTAAGGAACAGCACATAAAGAGTATATTAAAGGAGAAGCTTTTCTATTTTGAAATAGCAACAATGTTGTAATGACCCCTTTAACAGTATTGCTTATTGCAGTAAAAGTAAATCTTGGCCATCATTAGAAAGTTTTCACTAGTACATTTTAATTTGTCAACATTTAAGATAGAGCCAACCACTTAGAGATAAAGGAGAATTTTTTGTAAAAATTTAGCGTGCAGTCATTCAAAGGTAGCATTATTTGTGTGTGAGGTGGATTGAACAACATGGCAAAATTTACCTTCTTCAGCTGAGAAAGGACAATGTATATAACTTTAAAATTCGTGAAGAGTTTGGTGGTTTTACATGTTTTCCCTGTGTCATTGGTAGTCATCAGTAATTAATATGAAAAGAAAAATAATAATTAAGTAGTTATTTACCATTACAAATGAACTTTTACCTAAGAATTAATGTCTGCCTTCTGCTTTGTTAGAAGGACTGGGCTTGCGGGAGCCATGGGATTATCCAAAGCCATAAGAAATATTCACAATGCCATGACTTTCTAGTAATTTAAGGAACAAAGAACAGAGTCATAGAAGAAATAATTTTAAAAAGTTGTTTAAGAGAAGAGAAAATAGTGTTTCAGACTGGCTGTTCTTTACATGTTTCATCATTTTAATATTAAAGGTCCCATATCACATGGAAGAGAGAATTACGGAAGTCCTCCATGCAGAGAGCCAATCTCTTCCCGGAGAAAAGACCATATGTCTCCAAGAGATGGTTATGCAACTAAGAATAGGTAAAGATAAAACGGAAAAAATAGTCGATTTTTTTTGTTATGGTGATGAAATTCACATAACAAAATTAAATATTATAAGGTAAACAGTTAAGTGGCATTAAATATATTCTGTGTTATGCAGCAACTACCTCCATCGAGTTCCAAAACATTTTTGTGACTCCAAACTAAAACTCCAACTACCAGTTGAGCAGTCGCTTTCATTTTCTCCCTTCCCTCAGCTGCTAGCAAACACCAATCTGTGTTCTGCCTCTGAACTTACATGTTGTGGGCATTTAATGTTATGGGCTCACACACTGCATGACTTTTTGTATCTGTCTCCTTTCCTTTTGTATCATGTCCCGAAGTTTCATTTACATCATAGCACTTCACTCCTTCCACAAGCTGTTAACCCATTATTTTATTTGGGTTGTTTCCACCACAGTATTTCTATGCTCCAGTATTTGTTTGAGTACACTTATTCAATTTTGGGTGTATATATACGTGGAATTGCTTGGTCCTATGATAATTATGTTTGTTTTCTTGAGGAAGCACCACATTTCTCCTAGTAGCTGCATCATTTTCCATTCCAGGTAGCATTGTATCAAGGTTCCAATTTATCTTCACCCTCTCAAACAATTGCTATTTCCTGCTTTTTAAAATTTATTGCCATTCTAGTGTGTGTGTGAAGAATGGTATCTCACTTTGGATTTGAAATGCATTTTCTGAATCACTGATTATGAGTATCTGTTCCATGTGCTAGTTGGGCATTTGTCTAGTTTATTTGGGGAAATATCTATTTAGATGTTTGGCCTTTTAATTTTGTTTAAGTTGTAAGTTAGTTATGTTTTGGAAACTAATTGATGAAAATTCAAAATTCGGTGCTTAAACTTATGCATACAGAAATCATCCACTTTCCCAAGAAACTAGTGATTATGCTCCACCATCTAGAGACTATGCGTACTGTGATTATGGTCATTCTAGTCAGGGTGAATATTCCTTTAGAGAATATAGGTACTATAACATTTCCTGGATTTGTCAAATAGATTTCTTAAATGGTTCATTCTGACATTAAGAATTTTTTTTTCAATTTAGTGATCGTGATGGCTACAATGACGCCCGTGGTAGAGATCATTCTGAACGTCCATGTGGAAGTTCTTATAGACATGTATTTCAGAGATAAGGTAAGGGTCCAGGATGGATTTGTAAATTATAGAATTGTATTTAATAGACCAGATCATTATTTTAATGAAATTATAAGGAAAAGTATAAAGGACAAATATAACATGTTTAAATATTGAGCATTCTTAGCAGTATAAAGCACAGGGAATGATATGAAGGTGAGAACTTCACTACACATTCAGAAAATATGACTCAATGTTTACTTTAGAGTTAAATTTGTTAAGCTTCAAATACTACTCTTACACTTCTTTTTAATAAAACTTTCTGACTCTTGCAGGCATAATTAATATCCTGTCAACAAAGGCAGACAAAAGTAGATATTTCCAAATAGTACTTTAATTCATGCTTTAGTGATAGCTGTAATGATGTTTAAATGTAGTCCAACATATTATTTTACCAACCCTGCAGGTACCTCTCATGGTGCACCACCAGCATGAGGGCCTCAGTTGTCTTACGGTGGAAGAAGCCGCCATGATTATAACAATACATGAGATAGATACGGCAGAAGTCAAGAGAGTTACGCAAGGAGATGTGGTGATTTTTATTCCTGTGGTCATGAGCATGTTGGCAGAAAAGACCTAAGGAATCCACCTTCTCTAGGTAGGGTGCACCCTGCTCCTCGTGAAACATGTGGTAGCTCAAGTTATGTGGCATCTACAGGAGATGGTGGGGAAAGTTGATCTGGAAAAAAGAGCCAGAAGCAGATATTAAAGCAAGTATTCAAAATAATAGTTATTGCATACCAAACCTTGTTTTCAAATCGAAAATTGACATGTTATTTCTGCATCGTTACCTGTGTCTTGCTAAAAGAAACCTGTTGGTTTTGTGGAGAGAGGTAGATACTAACTTCCTCCATTAATTTTTTGAGGTATTCAAAGGAAGAGGAATTTTTTTCAAAGTAATTTCGTACTTGCTAATGCTTTTTAAGAACTATTTAGATGTAATATCTGCATTAAAATTTTCAGAATAAAATTTTACATGTAATCCAAAATGCCTGATGTTATTGCTTAACAGCACATGCTTAAAAGCAAATTCAATAGGAGAGTAAATTGCATTGTTTGTTGAATGTTTTCCTTTGTTTCTTTGAACATAAATAGATACAAAATTAGGCATATGTTATGTCTCCCTTGAAAGCTGCACAAGTTTTCGAATTAGGCTGTTTCTCTTTAAAAACTTACAAGCTTACAATGTTTGCATCCTCTTCAGAAAGACTACAAAACTGTCTGCCTCACTATACAAAATTTATCTTTTAGAGGACTAGTATAGGTCAAAAGAAATAATTAGATGTGGTTGATACTAAAGTTTAAGACATCTGGAACATTCTATTTGAAGCATTCTGTGACTGAAGAGAGATAATGCTAATGAAAACTTTTTTTTTTTACCTAAATCAAAAGTGAACCAGCTAAATTTCTCAAGTGCATAACATAATGAAATTAAATGTTCGTAGTTTAAATAGTGGAAAGCAAGTGTTTTGTCTTAGAAGGTAGTCATGTTATTTTTTTTCTTGAAAGTTTTGACAATGGTTGTTGTAAGTCATGGTTTAGTAATAAGTTGTTACAAATAGGAATAATCTAGAGTGGCTGGAATTTCATCAGTTTTTTTTTTCTTTTTCAGATGGAGTGTAACTTTATCGCCCAAGCTGCGGTGCAGTGGCTCCATCTTGGCTTACTGCAACCTCCACCTTCTGGGTCCAAGCTCTTGTCCTGCCTCAGCCTCCTGAATAACTGGTATTAGATAAGTGTGCACTACAGCTGGCTAATTTTTTGTATTTTTGGTACAGACAGCGTTTCACCATGTTTGCCAGGCTGTTCTTAAAATCCTGATCCACCCTCCTCCGACTGCCAAAGTTCTAAGATTACAGGCATGAGCCACTGCTCTCAGCCTATCAGATTTAATTCATGATATGAATGGAAGCACTTTAAACCTCATACTTTTGGGAAGTTAAGTGTATAAAATGTAAAACCACAGCATAACGTTTCAGACAGGGGATTGCTTAAAGGTGTAATAAATCATCAAATGATAAAAATAAAAAGATTTGGACTTAAATAACTAAACCAATTAATTTTTCTTTTTATTTATTTATTTATATTTATTTTATTATTATTATTTTCTTTTTTTGTTTTTGTTTTGTTTTGTTTTTTTAATTGATCATTCTTGGGTGTTTCTCACAGAGGGGGATTTGGCAGGGTCATAGGACAATAGTGGAGGGAAGGTCAGCAGATAAACAAGTGAACAAAGGTCTCTGGTTTTCCTAGGCAGAGGACCCTGCAGCCTTCTGCAGTGTTTGTGTCCCTGGGTACTTGAGATTAGGGAGTGGTGATGACTCTTAACGAGCATGCTGCCTTCAAGCATCTGTTTAACAAAGCACATCTTGCACCACCCTTAATCCATTTAACCCTGAGTGGACACAGCACATGCCCCAGAGAGCACAGGGCTGGGGGCAAGGTCACAGATCAACAGCATCCCAAGGCAGCAGAACCCCTCCCAGTACAGAACAAAATGAAGTCTCCCATGTCTGCTTCTTTCTACACAGACACAGCAACAATCTGATTTCTCCATCTTTTCCCCACCTTTCCCCCCTTTCTATTCCACAAAACCGCCATCGTCATCATGGCCCGCTCTCAATGAGCCGCGGGGCACACCTCCCAGACGGGGTGGCGGCCGGCAGAGGGGCTCCTCACTTCCCAGAAGGGGCGGCTGGAGAGAGGTGCCCCCCACTTCCCGGACGGGGCGGCGGCCGGGCAGGGGCTGACCCCCAACCTCCCTCCCGGACGGGGTGGCTGCCGGGCGGAGACGCTCCTCACTTCCCAGACTGGGCGGCTGCCGGGCGGAGGGGCTCCTCACTTCTCAGATGGGGCGGCTGCCAGGCGGAGGGGGGCTCCCCACTTCTCAGATGGGGCGGCCGGGCAGAGACGCTCCTCACCTCCCAGACGGGGTCGCAGCCGGGCAGAGGCGCTCCCCACATCTCAGACGATGGGTGGCCGGGCAGAGACGCTCCTCACTTCCTAGACAGGATGGCGGCCGGGAAGAGGCGCTCCCCACTTCCCAGACTGGGCAGCCGGGCAGAGGGGCTCCTCACATCCCAGATGATGGGCGGCCAGGCAGAGATGCTCCTCACTTCCCAGATGGGGTGGCGGCCAGGCAGAGGCTGCAATCTCCGTACCTTGGGAGGCCAAGGCAGGCAGCTGGGAGGTGGAGGCTGTAGCTAGCTGAGATCACGCCACTGCACTCCAGCCTGGGCAACATTGAGCACTGAGTGAAGGAGACTCCCTCTGCAATCCCGGCACCTCGGGAGGCCGAGGCTGGCAGATCACTGGCGGTTAGAAGCTGGAGACCAGCCCCACCAACACAGCGAAACCCTGTCTCCACCAAAAAAATACGAAAACCAGTCAGGCGTGGCGGCGCGCGCCTGCAATCGCAGGCACTCGGCAGGCTGAGGCAGGAGAATCAGGCAGGGAGGTTGCAGTGAGCAGAGATGGCAGCAGTACAGTCCAGCTTCGGCTAGGCATCAGAGGGAGACCGTGGAAAGAGAGGGAGAGGGAGAGGGCACCAATTATACTGATTATACAACCTAAAGAAATGAAATACATGAAATTCCAGAAGTTTTACAGTCCATAATTCTTACAATTAACAGACTAATCTGCAATGAGGAAATATTTTCTTGATAAAATTTTCACAAGATCTTAATTTTTATAGGGTAAGGGTGCAAATAATTTTAAAGGGAGAAGTTGCCAACTTTGATTTTCAAGTGAATTATTCATATTATGAAGTTGTGTTTTCATTCACCTATAATGTAGGATTGTGAGGATGAAGTGAAAAAATAAAACTCCCTAGTCTTGTGTATCTTACTGCCCAGGTGTGATGGCTCAGGTCTTTATTTCCAGCATGTTTTGAGTCCAAGGCTTGCAGATCATTTTAGGTCAGGAGTTCAAGACCAGCCTGGCCAACACCATGAATCCCCATCTCTACCAAAAATATAAAAATTAGCTGGGTATGGTGGTGCACGCCTGTAGTATGTTACAGTTAACTGGGGCACTCAGGTAGGAGAATCGTTTGAACTGGGGAGCCTGAGGCTGCAGTGAGCTGATATTGCACCATGCACTCTAGCTTGGGTGACAAAGCGAGACTCCAAATCAAAAATAATTATATAAGTCAACACATATATAAATAATAAATAGGGTATCCTTCATTTCATGCACTTATCAATTCTTTTTTCTTTTTTGGACACAGTGTCTTACTCTGTTGACCAGCCTGGACTGCAGTGGCACTGTCAAGGCTCACTGCAGCCTTGAACTCCTAGGTTCAAATGCACAAGCCCCATTCCAGCCTCCCAAGTAGATGGAATTGCAGTCACACACCACTGTGCCCAGCTTTTGTGTTTGTGTGTGTGTGTGTGTTTGTGTGTGTGTGGTAGGGACAATGCTTTAGATAGATTTTTCAGGCTGGTCTCAAATTCCCAGGCTTAAGTGATCCTTCTTACTTGGCCTCCCAAAATGTTGTGATTATAGCCATGAATCTGACATAACATTTCTTGGTATGAGCGACATTACAGCTTCACTCTATTAATTCTTTTGGGACATACAATAAATCATTATTAAATGTACTCATCCTGTGCTACTGAACACTAGATCTTATTCCTTCTAAGTAACTATAATTTAACCCAACCCCATCCCCTCTTTGATCCCTTCCTTACCAGTACACATTGCTTGTATCAAAATATCACATGTATGCCAAAAATACCTACAACTGTTATGTACAAATTTTTTAAATAAGTAAAATATCAATAAAATGATATCTCCAACAAGGTGATAAAATAGGAGGCCCTATTTTGTTCCTCCATCCACAAATGCAAAAAATAAGCCACACTGACATCAATTCCCTGTGAGATAAACTCAGAAATTAGTTGAGATACTCTTCCACATAGGATTATGAAAATATTCACTTAAAAAGAGGTAAGATAAACTGAATCATGATCTTGTTCTAGAGTTTATCTCTGACACATTGCCCTAGAATCCATAGGGAACTGTTATTTCACAGCTTCTCTCAGAGGACTGAAGTATTAATCCACATATGTAATGCCCCACTTGTTAACAGCTTCTTCTCAATGAAATGATTCCTCATTCGCCTGTTTCTGGATTCTAACATAGATTGACATTCATAACTCTCCTAGGACCTCCAAGATAAAAGAGGTATTTAAATAGACATTCAAGCACTTCTGAAACTGTTTCCTCCTGGTTTACAGGATCTGAAGCAGTCAAGAAAGCTCAGCTCCCACTTTGTGTCTTGAAGAACTTAGATTGTACATCTAACACCTTGACTTTTTTTTTTCCTTTTTCCTTTTGAGATGGCGTCTTGCTGTGTCACCCAGGCTGGAGTGCAATGGCACGATCTTGGCTCACTGCAACCTCTTGCCTCCCAGGCTCAAGTGATTCCTCTGCTTTAGCCTCCCAAATAGCTGGGATTACAGGTGGCCATCACCATGCCAGGCTAACTTTTGTATATTTTAGTAGAGACAAGTTTTCACCATGTTGGTCAGGCTGGTCTCAAACTCCTGACCGCAGGTGATCCACCTGCCTTGGCCTCCCAAAATGCTGGGATTACAGGCATGAGCCACCGCACCCAGCCATGTCTTGACTTTTATAGCTTCTGCCCAAGTATCTTGCTTGTAATTCTCCTTACTTTTGAATCTCTCAAGGTCCTCTGAGAGCAGGCACGAAGGCATTTCTTATCAGTCTTCATCATCACTCACTCTAGCAATATACTCAGCTTCTAAATTTTCCTTCCAAGAAGTCAGAGTACCCAGCTATTGTCCTGACTTCTCAGGTTGCTGCCTAAGAGTTTGAATACTAATTTGCCAATCTCTGGAAGCTAATGAATCCCAGTTTTTTGTAATCTCAAGATTCTAAAGAGGAAAAAGAATTGTTTTATGAAAACTCTGCATGATCTTTAAACTTCCCTATCGATATAGTTTGGATATTTGTCCCTCCAAGCCTTAGGTTGAAATGTGGTCTTCCACACTGTAAATGGCACCTAGTGTGAGCTGTTTGTTTGTGTCATGGGGATGGATGCCTCATAAATGGCTTGGTGACCTCGCCATGGTTTAATAAGTGAGTTTTCTGCTCTATTAGTTCCCACAATGCAGCTTACATCCAAGTAAGTTGTTGAAAAGAGCCTGATACCTTCTCCCCTTCTCTCTCTTTCTGTCTCCACATGTGACATGCCTTATTTCCTTTTACCTTCTGTCTTGAGTGGAAGCCTCATGAGGCTCTCATCAAATACAGATGCTGGCACCTCACAACTTTTACAGCCTGCAGAACCAGGAACCAATGGAAGATCTTTTCTTTATAAATTTTCCAGTCTCATATTCTTTTATAGGAACACAGACTAAGACATGTATCTCTGGCTGCTTACTTGCCTATATCAGTAAGCAGTGGAGATCAGCATTTACTATCTCCTGAGTTCCATAGAGGACAAAGAGGTGGTTTTCAATGGTCCTGTGAGTGCTTCCTTATATCCAACCCTTGGCTTGCTCTAGCTTTCAGCTTCTCCGTGAAAGCACCCCAACCTTTTAAACTCCTCCCTTAGGACAAGTATTTTGTTGTTGTTTTTGTTTGTATTTATTTGTTTGTTTGTTTGTTTCTTGAGATGGAGTTTCACCCTGTCACCCAGGTCGGAGTGTAGTGACGTGATCTCAGCTCACTTCAACCTCCACCTCCTGGGTTTAAGAGATACTCCTGCCTCAACCTTCTGAGTAGTAGCTGGGACAACAGGCACATGGCACCAGGCCTGGCTAATTTTTGTTTTGTTTTGTATGTTTAGTAGAGAGGGGATTTCACCTTGTTAGCCAGGATGGTCTTGACCTCCTGACCTCATGATATGCCTGCTTCGGCCTCCCAAAATGCTGGGGTTACAGGTCTGCGCTACTGTGCTCAGCCTGGACCAGACTTAACTTGCCTGTTTCTAGGGTCTGATGCGACAGAACAGGCATTCTGTGACTCTGCTAATTCCCACCGTCTCTGCAAAAAACCTCAACTCACAACTATCCTTAGATACGGACACCTGAGTGAATGATTCTATAGCTTGGGATTGGATCTCTGACACATTTTTTTAACTGTAGAACTGAGAATAGCCACACAGATAGGATAAAAGAACAGTTTTAATTTGATGCTTTTTCTCCTCCCCAAGCCAGCACAATGTTGCATACAAAAAATTCCCCTGAACTCACAGTTTCTTCACAGAGGAGAGAGTTGAAGATGTACATTCTGTCCTTTCTTTTCCATTTTGCAATTCGTCACATGAAGTTCTCTCTAGTCTTACCCTGTGGGAAACAGTGGGGGTATCAGACAATGGCGGTCAATTAGAAACAAAGTACATGGGTGGGGCTCACAGTGACCATAACAGTAATCTTATTCATGGCTTTGCATTCCAGCCAGCAGAGTTGCACCATCAGAAAAACTAGGCAACAGCATCATTCTGCAGCAACCAACCATGGTTGATGGGTCTGCCAGGCTCAAATCACTGGCCAACTGACAAATCCCACCCTGGTTTTCTCTGCAAAACTTCCAAGGCTGTGACAAAGAGGCAGCTTGGTGATTATCCACGGAAGGGTCATGTGACCCCACCCATTCCCAGCTGCCATACTTTTGACCATCCTAGCCCTGTATTCTCCACCCATCCCCAGGCTGAAAAGCAGAGGCAATTTAGTGGTTGAGGATGAATTTTCTGGCCCTACCTGGACCCAGTGGGCAAGTAGCTTATATAATAAGTCTTGGTACCCCTAGAAGGAAGTTCACTTCTGATATATCTAATGGAAATCACTGGGGCATTAGAATCTGTAGAGCACATGACTTTATTGAGAAACAGATAATCCCATGCTCAGCTCCAGCCCTTCCCACTGCTGTTGGGAAGCAACTACCCTGCTGGGAAAAGTGCCTGTCTGAGCTGATGAATGCAGTCTATCCAGGCTCTGTCCAGCAGAAAATGGATCTAGACTCTCCAGGCTTTGTCTCCTATAGGGATGACCCACTCTCAGCTCTGGCCCTTCCACTTTAGTCAGGGAACTCTATAATCCTTGAGAAACTTTCTGGGCAATGTGCAACTTTCTTAGGAGAGACCAGGATTTAAATGATCTGTTCAACAGCAGATGTCAAGGGATCTGGTTGTCAGCCCCAGGCCCTCTTGCTGCAGGCACAAAATTAGCCCATCTGTGCAGAGACCTTCCAGAATCATTAGTAATAAATAACCTACAAGCCAAAAAAAAAAAAAAACACCCAGGAACCGACAGATTCCAGATGAATTCTACCAGATCTACAAAGAGCTGCATCATATTCCATTGTAAGAGTGATCCCAGTTTTTTCAACCGGTGTGCTTACACACACTCACTCAAAAAAAGCACACACCTATGTTTCATGTTTTCTCAAAAAGCTGCAGTGGAAATGCCAAGCTGGCCTCTGGTGTCTTCCAAAGGATCAGTGGGGAAGGACCCATTCCTTTGCTTGCCTTACATTGTCGCCAGCAGCCTTGTCCTCAATGGCAGTTGTTCAGTGGTTTCTTACGGCTCTCTAGAGAACCTGCAATTATATTTATTTATATGGTTTACAATATATTCTTAGCCTTTATCTCTAAACATGAGGCTGGGTACAATGGCTCAAGTCTGTAATTTCAGTACTTTGAGAGGCTGATGTTGGAGGATCCTCTGAGCCCAAAAGTCTGAGACTACAGTGATCTGTGATTCAGCCTGGTAACAGAGCAAGACCCTGCCTCTAAGTAAATAAATAATAAAAATACAACTGATAGTAATATTTTTGTTTTACAGTTTTGGAAACACAAATTTCCTTGATCAGATAAATGAATACTTGATAGTCACTAACACAGCACATTTGCTTGTGTATGGGAACCAGTGCAGGAAAGCAGTAGGATTGGATGCTCTTTCCCCTTGATCTCTGAACATGTATATACTGTGATAATAAAGAGTGAATTTGGATCAGGGAGTCTTTCTGCCAGAGCCATCAAAACTGTGGAAATAAAACCCTCCACAAGTCAGGAAACAAAACAGTCTTTACTGGTAATAGTAACTATAAAATCTTTTGCAGATTTCATTTCATTTTTAATTTAGTGTAAATTAGGCAGCATAACACAGACTACCCTGCTGCTAGTAGTATGCAATTTAATGACAAAAGTCAATTAGACTTGGTTGTTTAAAACTACAGAAATCTTAATTAACATCATAGTTACATGAGTAATTTTGAAAATATAAACCAGCTTATTTTAAACTTTCAGTTAGTCCACTAGATACCGAAATATTATTTGAAACACATTTCAAAATTCATGTGGATAATGGGCAAAATGACAAGCTTTTATTTTTATTAATTTCCTTTTGGTTTTATGCCTTTCATTCTCTCTTTTCTCCCTTTCCTCCCTTCCTTCTTTCCTTCCTTCCTTCCTTCCTTCCTCTCTCTCCCTTCCTTCTCTCCCTCCCTCCCTCTCTCTTTCTCTCTTCCTGCCTTCCTTCCTGCCTGCCTGCCTGCTCACCCTCCCTCCCTCCTTCCTTCCCTCCCTCCCTCCTTCTCTTCCTTTCTTCCTCCCTTCCTTCTTTCTTTTTTTCCTCTATCTCTGTTTCTCTCTTTGATTTTTTTTTTTTTAGGCAAAACCTTGCTCTGTCACCTAGGCTGGAGTGCAGCAGCATGATCTCATCTCACTGTAACCTCCCCATCCTGGGTTCAAGCAGTTCTCCAGTCATACCCTCCTGAGTACCTGCAACTGCAGGCATATGACACCGATCCTGGCTTTTTTTTTTAAATTGTATTCTTAGTAGAGACCAGGTTTTACAATGTTTGCTCAGGCTGGACTCGAACTTCTGTCCTCAAGTGATCCACCCACCTTAGCCCCTCAAAATGCTGGGATTCCCAGCATGAGCCAAAATGCCCACCAAGTGTTACGCATTTCTCTCCTCACTCATCTCTCTTATCTCATTTTTTATTTTATTTTATTTTTATTTCTTAGACAGAGTCTCGCTCTGGTGCCAAGTCTGGAGTGCAGTGGTGTGATCTCTTCACTGCAAACCCTGTCCCCAGGGTTCAGTGGACTCTCCTGCATCAGCCTCCCAAGTAGCTGGGATTGTATCCATGGGCCACCACACCCAGCTAGCTTTGGTATGATATTAGACATGGGATTTTGCTGTGTTGGCCAAGCTTGTCTCAAACTCCTGAGATCAAGAGATCACTCACCTTGGCCTGCCAAACTGCTAGGAGTGCAGGTGTGAGCCTCCATGCCCTGCCTCATATCTCTTTTAAAGCTCAGTTGATTAGCAATATTGTCTTCCTGGAATGCTTTATGTTTACAAAACAGCTATAGCACTATTATTTAGCCTCTTTGGATAAAGTATGGTAACACACACAACATATGTACATATGCACAGACACAGTCAGTGATCAAAAAAATCATTGTAGGCCAGGACCTAAAATGAAAGATGAGTTGCTGCAGTTGGCTAGTATTAAAGCAGACCAGATTTGACCCGTACCCAGCCAAGAGATGTGAACAGAGGCTTTCAAAAAACTCCATCATATACATGTTAGATTATTCTCCAGCCATATAGCAAGGGGACATTAAAGATCTGTTTGTGTTTAGAAGAGCCTGGATGGTTTGACTTTTCCAGGGTATTAGCATTCGTGACATTGGCCTTTAAAGCTCTCTGCAATTACTCAAATCAGTAGACAACTCAGTTTTTCTAGGAGTCTAAAGTGCTTTTCAAAATTATCTAAAACTTAATGGCTTAAAACAATAATTATAATTTACTAACTTCAGTCTTTGCAAACTTCCAGTCCCTCAGCCAAGTGATTGTGGTTCAGGGGCACTCAGAAGGATGCAATCTAGTGATGGCTGAGGACTGGGACATTGTTAGGTATCTTCTCATCTCCCTGGTGCCATGGCTAGCATGACTCAAATAGCGGGGGCTGTACTGCTGAGATCCTTGGGCATCTCCTTCTATTTCTATGAGTCTCTCCATGGGATGTCCCTTCTGCATAGTGTTATTAGGGTGTTCGACTTCATGATGTACTGGTCCAGGGCTCCTGGGGGGTTTGTCCTCATGAAAGCAGGAGACTTAGGCAGAGCTGTGTCACCTTTTCTAACCTAGGCCAGGGGTGGCCCAGTATCCAGAAAATGCTTGCACTGTTTTCTATTCATTAGAAGCAAGTACTGTGTTCAGTCCCATCAGGAATATTTTCAAATGGGTTTGCAAAGAATTTCAGTGTTTTAGACCACTACAGTGGCCATGACTAATAATTACTTATTTTTATAAGTGCTGGATGGGTTTTACCCAACATAATAGCAGATACAGACTTTTAAGCTTAAAACCTAAATGTCATAGCTCCGAACATTTGGTTATATGTTGAAATAACTCTCAAGGAAAAATTGATTTAGAAATGAGAACTATAAATAAATAAATGAGATAAACTCATAAATATCTGGATGAAATGCTTACAAAGAGGTCAGCCTGAAAAATGTCATGAAGTCTAATGTGCCACTATTTTACTATTTCTATGGATATTATTTGGACAGGAGGACAAGGACTCAGGGGTCTGCTGGTCAGTCTCTGCACCTTGAAACAGCGGCTGGGGAACCAGGAGTAACACTTCCAGCCAACACCATGTGGTGAGGATGAGGAGTCCACCCAGGTTAAGGAGGATGTCAGCCAAATGTGACCTGAAGGAGAGTACACCTGGTATGACCAGGATCAAGGTCTCTGGCACACATTGAAATCCCCCATGCCCAGCTGTGGCAGAGTGAATCACTCAGCTGGTGCTGGGTTTCCAGGTGTGTTCAGGAAGCAGCTCCCTGGGCTGGGAAGGATCCCCTCATTCCCTTGCCATGTGGGAGGGTGAGGCTTGTGGCCCCTGCTCTGTCTGTTCCCGCTCTTTACCTTCCCATTATCCCACAGCTGGGTAAGGTGGCAGGACCCTGGAATGTAGAAGGGCCCTGGGTTGTTGACAGTGTCTGCGGGTGGCCATGTACTAGGAGGAGAGTCCTCACTGAGCCTCCCGTGAGCTTGGAGGCAGAGAAGGAACAGTCATGGGGCACTGGCTGTTCCAGAGTCCAGGGGCCTGTCCCAGAGAAGGCCAGGGGGACATTGTAAGCCTGTGGATCTGCAATCTAGGTGGAAGAGCTGTATCTGCCATGGCTGACATCATCAGGACAAGACACCCACTGGGTGGAGAGCTGGGCTTATGCATTTTATCCCTGTCCTGAAGAGACTCTGCATGCCTGGCTCTCCTGGGAACAGTGATCCTGCGGACCCCTCTCTAGGACCACTCATGACCATAAGCTTAGGATCTTGTGTGCCTTGCTTCCAATCCACCCAGGTGACACATCCTGGAGAGGATATGTGAGGTGAAGCTCATGTGCGCACATGCTGCACTGGAACGGGGTGTCACCAGCCAGTTAGGCCACTGCTCACCAGGCCCTCTCCTGAGCTCCCACCTGGCTAAATGATAAGTGTCCCATCTACATGACCCCGCAGCCCAGGTTTCTCCTCCACTTACCGACCCGCACCCTCCTGGGGAGAATGCCAGCCTCCTTGAGACTCAGGCCCTGCCGGACCCACATGCTGTCCTCTCTCATGGGCTGGACATGCTCTGGTGCATAGGGATTCCTGAATAGCAAATCCCAAAGCTCCACGGGTTCAATTGCTTCTTCTCTGAATACCTGCCTTCCCCGACCAAACACACAGGAAGACACATACAGCTGCTAGGTTTTATTTCCCTCCAGGTGTCATTTCAGGTCCATGACATCTCCTCTAGGTAGCTTGCATCTGCCACCCATTTCCTCCTACCTCTGCCATTTGTGAAAACTATGAGGACTCTTCCCATCTCCCAAGAGTTCAGACTTCATGGGTCCTGAAGTTGGATTGCCAAACCTGGCAGTGCCCTGCTTGCCAGCTCAAGAGCTGAGTTTGAGGCACACCTCTGGCAGGAGTGTGGGCCCCCCTAAACCAAGGTACACAGTGGTACACAGCCACAGGTGTGCACACACAGGCACAGCTCAGACACGCAGGCTGGAACATCTCCACACTCACACTGGTACGATTGAAACTGGCTGTCTACACCAATACTAAAGTGGACCTTAATGCTCAGCCACATTCCTTCACTACACACACACAGAAGGTCCCCTGTCATTTAATTGATCATCTATAAAGGGATTTATTTTTACTTTTATACTTTTTTAACTTACCAAAGTATGTTGCATTCTTTCCCCCATCATGAAAAAGACTTTGATACAAGTAAGGAGGAAGAGCACTTTTTATAATAAAATGCTGTATCTGCATCTATATTAAGGCATTTTACAAACTTTATGTCTATTTTTTAATGTCACAGGAGATGTCTCAGGGGCCGGGGAAGCATGAGTGAGGATGGCAGAGGGGAGAAAGCATGTCAGGGGAGGCTGGGGTCATTGAAACAAAACATGACACGACTGGGATAGCCATTCTAGAAGTATGTAGACCTAGGCGTGCCTCATGTGCACCTCTCTGTGGAGGGTAAAAGGGCCCTAGTGGAGGCCAAACTGAGCCCCAGGTGGTAGCAGGTATCAAGGCGCTGAAGGGAGCCAGGGAAGGATCATGTGGCCACTATCCATTGAGATTGCTTCTCACCCATTGACCTTCGCCACTTCTGCCTCTTAGGTGGCTTCGGGTGCCCCAGTTCTGAAATATGAGTGTTACATTTCCCTGATGGGTTCTTCTCCCCCAGCCCAGGGATGGCCTGGGATTTCTCAGGGCAGGCTCCTCCCTGAGCTTTGAGTTCTCCATGTGTGTCCCAGCTCCAGGACCCACAGGGCTCTGAACCCCCTGCCCTGGGCTGCTTACCTGGCCTCCTCTCTGTTCCCTCTCTGAGGGCCTAACTCCTTCCAGTAGTGCTGCAGGGGATTGAGACAGAGGCCCTGAATGATAATTGGGGGGACTGGGGAATGGGGTCCATGACTGCTCAGGTCATGGTTCAAAGCCAGTTCCCCAGATGCCAAGGAAAGACCAGCAATGTCCTTTAATATGACACCCCTCAGCGGCACCCACCTCAGCAATCCTGACTGACTTTGAGTGATCACGGTCAGCCAACCAGCTGAAGAAGCTCAGTTAGGCTGTGTCCTGCCTGAAGCTGGGGGCTTCTGCTACATGACTCTAGAACCACTGGGCTACGTCATGCCAGACATCCTGTATCCTGGAGCAAGAGGAGTTGGGAAGGCTCATGCCAGGCATAGCCTCCCACACTCCACCCCCGCTGCCATGCCAATAGGCACTCCTTACAGAGGATGCCAACCTGATACTCCTTAATGATCACTTCATTGCAGAAATAAAGGTTGTGACAAAAGGAAAACTTTGTCCTGCCGCCAGTACCCTGGATGGCTGTTTCTTCACCTGCCAGTCCAAGAAGAAGAGAACAGACTCAAAGGGATCATTTCATCTTGCTAGGCTGAGGGCCTGCTAGCTAGGATGAAGCATGCATTTCCCCTTCCCAGCTCTCCCACTGAGACACTCCTGGACCCCAGGAGGGCCTCAACCTGACCAGGACCCTCCATCCCTCCCCCAGACCCAGGTACCCCAGACTGATCTGCAAATCCATCATGTAGCTTACTTGGCAGGACTTCCTCATGGTTTCTGAACCCTGCCAATATCTGGGTGTGTGCACAATCTGCCTCTGTTCAAGGAGCCTCCAAATGATTGGATGGGTGTGCCAGGAAACATCCTGCAACTTTGCAAGAGCTGGGAGACTGTTGGGCAGGGCTATCCCCCAGACCTTTGACCTGGCACTCTGCATTGGTGGTCCTGTCTCTGTCCAGCGTGGGGGCACTGTAGCAGATGTGGTGGTCTTGTGGGCGGGTAGAGGGAGGCCCAGAAAGCTTCTGCCAACAAGGAGCGGGGGAGCACAAGTAGGCAAGGGATTGGGTATGGGGTGCTGTGGTGTAAGGCAGCTGTTTCTTCAGATTTCCTGAGCTGAGCGGCACATAGGTGCTAGACAGGCTCTGCTGAGGGTGTCAAGGTGTGTGGTCCCCTCTTCTCCTGGTCTCCCTGAGGGGTGGGTGTGTCCACTTGAGGGAACTTGTGTGGGTAGAAGGGACTGCAAGGCTGTGCCTGTCACTCCTTATGGGGCTTGTGTGTGTGCAGTGGAGGAGTGTGTGCAACAGAGGTTATATGTGCTCAGGTCCTACAGCTCTTTGGGTGCAGCAGAGGCAGAGGAAAGAAAGCCTGTCTGGGTAGCTGGTGTTTGCCTTGCAGAGGACAGCAGCCCCCTGCATCGTGAACCTGAGTCTTGAGCAACTTGTGATTCTGGTGTGAGGCCTCTGGACACACACACGGGGAGTAGGTGTCGTTCCATGGCTGGCATGGGCATGCAGACTCCCCTTCCTTCAAGGACTTTCCCAGGGAAACCTGCCCTTCAACTTGCTGCTATGCCTGAAGGGTCCTTGGCACCACTATTCTCTCTTGTGAGTGCTGAGCTTGGCTCCCAGTCCCTGTCACATGCTCTCAGGGTACCCACAAGCAAGCTGTCTTACTATCTGCTGGAGCCTAGCCTCAGCTCCCCTCGCTGTCCCCCATTCCCTGCCTCCTGGCTGACTCTGTGTGCCTCTGTCCTGGTTCCCGTGCTCCCCACCCCCAGAAGCCTGATGCCAACCCACTGCTGCCAATCATCCCAAATGGGCAGCTGCAAGGATATGCTCTGGCCCAGAAGCCAGAGATGCCCTGGCTGATGGCACCTGTTCTGTCCAGGCTGGGCAGGCGCCTCTGCCAAAGCTTCTGCCTCAGCCTCAGGCAGGCCATGAGGCCTGGGCCATTCACAGAGCCCAGCTCTGAGTGAAGGACCTCCAGCGAGTCTGCTGCTGGCTGGCGAGTCCTGGGGCCAGGGCCAGGGCCAGGGCCAGGCTGTGTCCACCTGTCCTCTACCTGCAGCTCCATGTTGGCCTTCTCTTTGACCAACACCTGGACCACCGCCATGATGTCATCCATCACCAGCACCTTCTCCTCCCACGAGGGCACCTCCACACTCTGTGCCCTGGCTGGCCTCTCCTGCAGAGCCTCCAAATTCAACGGGGTGCCTCCTTTGGAGGTCCCACTGACTACGACCTGTACTTTCCCCTCCACATCCAGATATGTGTATCCTTAAAATATACATAAAACAATAACTTAAAGGCATTCCCATTTCTCCACATCCTCTCCAACATCTGTTGTTTCCTGACTTTTTAATGGTCGCCATTCTAACTGGCATGAGATGGTATCTCATCGTGGTTGCAGGGCCATTGATGAAGCTGAAAACCATCATACTAAGCAAACTACCACAAGGGCAGAAAACCAAACACCGCATGTTCTCTCTCATAAGTGGGAGTTGAACAATGAGAACACATGGACACAGGGCTGGGAACATCACACATCCGGCCCAGTTTGGGAGTGGGGGCCTGGGGGAGGGATAGCATTAGCAGAAATACCTAATGTAAATGATGAGTTGATGGGTGCAGCAAACCAACATGTGACATGTATCCCTATGTAGCAAACATGCACGTTCTGCACATGTGCCCTAGAACTTAAAGTATAATTAAAAAAGGAAAAAAAAACTCAAAAGGAAAAATAGCTCTCCAAACCTAAATACTAAATAGAAAATTAGTATCAAGTGACCTAGAATGTAATTTACATGAAAATGTCACAAACATTCAGCAGATAGTTTCTAAATGCCAAAATAAGCCTGGCAGTCAGCAAGAAGCTAAGAACAACACGGTCCTTGCTCTTCTGAGTATGCAGTTGTTACAGGCACAGAGATAAATGAGGAATAATAAGTGCTGTAACTGCTTTAATAGGCAAATACAGGAAATATAACAAAATAAGGGCAACAATTTTGATAAACAAAACATTAATAAATGACAAAATGTTAAAAAAAAATGCATGATTTTAATAAACATTGCCTTCTTCTTCCCACCAGAAGAAAACTCATGCCTCTGCTTTATTGGCTGACATGTTCCTAAGGAGATGTGACAGGTCTGATTTGTATTACTAAATCACAATTGCCTCATTTATGAAACACATGTTTTAAATCCTTTTGAAGGTCAAATGAGAATATTTGCTGTTACTGGATAAACTGTCAAGTGCTAACCAAATATTATTTTCTCACAGTGATTTATACCATGTGTATATTACATGGTTAGTGTAGCATTCTCATAAAGAAAACCTTGAAACATATCTGCTGCTCAGTTTTTATTTTTCAACTGTATCAGTCTTTATTATTTATCATATGTTTTCTAGCAGCTTTTGAATTTTAAAGAGATATGTATAGACCAAAAAAAGAAGGACAATGAAATTGTGAGACTACAGTAGTAATAATTTCATTGATAAATTTGTTTATAAAGCTAGATTAGATTCTATTTCTCCCAAAAGATTCTCAGAGAAATACTAAGCTGATGCACCCACTGTTTGAAATGGTCTTAAAGTTGTTGCTTAAGTTAGAGTTAACTATTTTTAAAGCCTGAAGATACAGTAATAGTTTCATGCACCACAACAGGGAATATAGGATTTTTAGTGCTACTTGCTCTCACCAGAAATAATCATAACTATTAAATTGTTCTTTATGTCACAGTAAATTTTTCATTTCTACCTCATGTTTTGGCATTTATTTTTAAATGCATTTTCACCCTTATTGTGCTTCTGTGAAAAACTGCGGATTTAAGTTCATATCATAATTATTTTTCATTGTTATTTGTCTGTTCCTAAAGCTTCACAGAAATAAAGAATTCCATTTATGCTTGTATCTTTCAGCAACCTCATTTCAGATAATGGTGCACATTACTGCAAGTATCACACGTACAGGTCCAAAGTTGGGGGGCAGGGCAGGAGGAGGAGGATGAGATGGAAGAGGAGAAGGAGAAGGAGAAGAAGAAGGAGAAGAAGAAGGAGGAGGAGGAGGAGGAGGAAGAGGAAGAAAGAAGGAAGAAGGAAGGAAGGAAGGAAGGAAGAAGAAGAAGAAGAAGAAGAAGAAGAACAAGAAGAAGAAAAAGAAGAAAACAGCAAGCTTTTAAGTCTGTATATTTGTAACACTAGATCAGAAACTCAGTACTCATAGTGAAATCCAAAAATGATCACAGTCAATTCCATCTCATACCTAGACTGAAATAAGAACCTTCGAAAGAAAAGAAAGTTGAGAGCTTCAGGCTTGTCAAAATTTTCCTGTATAGGTAAAATTATTGGTGACTTTCTCTCACTAGAAAACATAAACAAAAATTCATGCTTCATATATTTGTAAATAGAATATATTTATTTCTATCAGTTATGACATGCAAGCAAGTAATAAAGTGAAAGTATAATAATAAAATGATATAAGGAAATGTCTCTGTGTCAAAAAACTCTATTGAGGCTATTAATTTTATAAAAACCATAGAGAATATTTCATGAAACTACATTATACAGTACATTTTACTATTTTACTGATATTTTAATACTCAATAAATTAAAGAAAATTCTTAATCATTATTTATTACCAATAACATTATTCTACTTGAGTAATCATTTTGAGATTAAATATTTTAAATAAAACATTAAAAACAAATTGTGTTGACTGATATCAGCTTTCAATGAAATAATACTTCTGTATTTGTAGTCATGTGAAGTATAACTTTCTCCTCACAATGGTTCTTTTATAACACCAGTGGTATTTTTTTCTCTGATATACATCCTTTTTGATCTCACAGTTTTACTGTAACCATACATTACATGACTCCAGAGGGTAGCCTTCAAATAAATGGAAAAATTATATTTGTGACAAAATTCTAGGAAAGGGAATGGTAAAATGGGAGAATAATTTCTGAATTTCTAACTGTTCATTAGTGGATTTGGATGTATTAAGATATAGACAAATATTTGCACCCTGCAAGTTTCCATATGTGTATATAAATTTAAATGAGGTACCCATAATGTATGGGTTGTGTAATCTTTCAATTCATCCTTAATTTTCCATGTGGGAAATTTGATAAGAGTTTATCCTTATCAAATACTCAATTTGAAGTACTATACCCAATTTCAAGTACTACACTCAATTTGATAAAATTTTGTTGGTAAAGCCAACAAAATCTGTGTCAACATTCATTTCAATTAATCCAATAATGTTAACTGCTGATAGCTTCATTCTCCTTCATCCCTGTTGGCAGCCTGAAAGCTAATTCTTACTCTAATTCAGTGCTCAAGGTGCCATCCACAAGTGGCTGTCATCTTGCTGTGGATTGTGACCTCTGACTCCACCACTTTCATCCTATAGTAGTCCTACTTTTGCATATTTAATAAACTTTGTACATGGTTAAATAATAAAAGTGCAGTGAAATGTCAGACCATGCTGTGAAATGTTCCATTGTTTCTATATCTGTAATTGACCTTTCATGTTGTGGAGGACAAGAAAAACAATTCAATATGTTTCTTAGTATCCAGTCCAATGCACCCTTTCTTATTAATGTGCCAAACCTGTACCTTCAAGGCACTGACATCCAAGCATGGCTAGATGTATCAAAATATCTTCTGATTAATCACCATTATGTTAATCACTGTTGCCCAGATCTGGACTCTGACTGTGAAATTGTAGGGTGGAAATTGCTATAATTGCTCAAACTATGGGAATGACTATGTTTTGTCATAATTACTACTGTCACCTTACTGAAAAATACCACATTACATGGCAACTTTTAGTTACATAAATCCTGTTGATTAATTTTTAATGTCCAGCATTTATGATATTGCACAAGTAAAGATCTTTGATAACTTAAATGATTAGCTGAGCAATGATTAAAATAACTCACAGCAATTTAAACATTCATTTACTTACTAGAAGTGCCATACGTCATTATCTCCAGATGAAAACAAAGTTGGGAAATTGCAAGGGCTGAACTGGTTACTAAAGTATGTATTTCAGGATATTTTATAAAACTATCCATGCCATGTATGATGCCTCACCTGCAAGGATAAAGCTTTAGCATATATAAAAAATAAATGCTTTTGGTTCTTAATATCTCTCTACATTTGTCTTCATAACCACAACACAAAAACACCCATGTACTTGACTTTTGGCTGAGTTGACTATCAGTTACTAGGGTTTAAGTAAACAGAATAAAGATTTCAAAATTTGGTGACCAAATATGAAAAATCGTATTCTCACCATAACATACAATTATTCTCAAATGCCACTGCAAATGCAAAATCAAAAGAAGAAATTAAATCTAATATATTGCAATATTCTAGAGTCTAAAATTTTTTCTTTGAGGTCTGGTGGTTCACGCCTGGAATCGCAGCTCTTTGGGAGGCTGAGAAGGGAGGATTGCTTCAAGCGCAGGGTTTAAGACCAGCCCAGGCAACATAGCAAGTCCTATCTCTACAAATGTAACTAATTAATTAATTAATTAAATTGGGCATGATGGCACACATCTATCGTTCTATTTACTCAGCAGTTCAAGGTTGTAGTGATCTGTGATCACACACTACACTTCAGTCTGGCCCACAGAGCAAGACTTTGTCTCTACAAAATAATACAATATAACGAAACAAAATAAAATAAAAAACACATTCAGTTGTTTTTTGGAAGTTTGTGTAATTGCTCAAAATCACAGACATTGAAGTTGAGTGCTTCATGGGGGAATGGGCAGTGAACATTGTTTATATTGTTTTCCAAAAATTAGGATAATTGTTAGAATATTATATATAAATACCTCATAACCTTTTGTACAATAAATATTGACAAATGTCAAGCAATTGTGTTTATAGGCTTTTCCTTCAAAATATTCATAGTTTAATTGGAGAATGAAGAGAAGAGCAATAATTGCAATGTACTCTGAGAAGTGTTACAATAGATACAATTCAGTAACTTAGTTGGACAGGAAGGAAGTTCTTAACTAGGTTTTCAGGAGTTTGGAAAGCTTAGGTCAGGAACAGTTGAAGCATCTGTAAGGATACAGATTTGCAAGAGAAATGTTTGGGAGATAAACACTGTAGAAAAAAAGAAACATTCTTTCTATCAATGATAGATGTGTACTAACAGTGCATATGATGCCATCTGCCCAATTCTTAGACCATACTAGCTCAATAAATATTTCTTGAATGAATCCATGAATGGAAGATATTGGGAAAAGGATGCTGGAAGGGATTTTCAAAATCATCTGAAGGAAAGGTAAACACCCTGGACTTTACAATTTTGCCTGCTTTTCTTTAAGTTCTTGTTATGTTTACTACCTCATAAGCTCTGTTTTATTTTTTGGTCTTTTCACAAATATCATGTATGTATCGTTCCTGAAACTATTTCTCTCTTGATCCCTTGATACTATATTTATCTCTGATACTCCTTTGTGTGAGGTCCTGGGTTTTTATGCCAACAGCTACATCACTCACCTCTTCCTGGCACTATTCTATGATACAGTGGCCTGGCCCCTGAGAGGCATGGTTCCTGGGCTCTCATAAAAATTACTTCCTGTTTCAGCTCAATCAAGTGGTAACACTGCAGAGATTAGAGAACA
Source organism: Homo sapiens (assembly GCF_000001405.40). Lineage (NCBI taxonomy): Eukaryota > Metazoa > Chordata > Mammalia > Primates > Hominidae > Homo > Homo sapiens. The sequence continues at coordinate 8,936,876 of NC_000024.10, forward strand.
AGAAGATGAGAGAAGCCAGTTTGTGTCACTTTCCTTCCAAGCAGGAGGTATGTTTCCACAGTGATTCCATGCCTGCAGGAATGCTCTCTGTGTTTCCATTTTCCATGTAGTGACCCTAAACCTAGACTGGCTCTTCTAATGCTATTTTCTGCAATTGTCTTCTCTGAAGGATTTGGGTACTATTTCGGAGTTTTAAATTTAAAAAAAATATTGATATAGAATGGGGGCAGGGAAGTGTCTGGTAGAGGATGGGGTGGTTCTTGGCTAGGGGATCCACCCTCAGGCCTGTGCTCACTGACATATGTAAGGACATGCCTTTCTGTTTTCTTGCTCAAATTGGTGAGGGCATGCAGTTCTGTTTTTTTGCCCACCTGTTGCATTTTTCAAGACCACCCTGGCCTGCCATACCCGCATCCTATGCTATCAGAAACCCCGAGACCCTAGTGGGCAGAGACAGAGTAGATGGACATCAAGAAGAACCATCAGCAGAAGAAGACACAGCAACTGGACGTCGAGAGGACACCGGAGGAAGGAGAGCACAAGGACAGAGGCGGCAGGCCATCCACCGCAGAAGAACACGGAGTTTTGTGGGGCTGTGGGAGGAGACCACTGACCTGCCCCATTCCAAGGTAAAACCACCTTCCGGCTCCATCTCCCTTCTGGCTCCCCCATTCATCTGCTGACAGCTTTCACTCAATGAAACCTTGCACTTATTCTCCAAGCCCACATGTGAGCCAATTCTTCAGCTACAACAAAGCAGGAAACCCCCAGGACCCAGAAAGCCTTCTGTCTTTGCAGTAAGGAAGGGTGTAAAATTGAGCTAACACAAGCCGCCTACAGATTGATAAACTAAATTAACACCGTGTAACACATGCCCGCTGGGGATTCAGGAGCTGTAAACATTCACCCCTAGATGCTGCCTGGGGTAGGTGCCCCACAACCTGTCCTCATTGCTAGCTTCACAGAAGGGGATAAGGGACATTTCAATATCAGTCTGTTTCCAATGCAGTGTGCTTTCTGCAATACTGCAGTGTTACCTCATTGGATATATTTGACAAAATAAGTTACAAACTATAATGTGAGAAAAAATAAATGATGGAGAATAAGGAAGGAAAATGAAACATTGTATCAGTAATGAGTGGTTTTTACTTCATATAACAGAAAAAGTAAACATGAACTAAATAAACACAGATTTCCAGTTTTCACATGTGAACCAGTCATAGTTAGGCAGTTGCTGCCTTTGATCAGTTGCTCTGCTGCATGGTAGTAGCAGAGCTGCATGGTAGTAGTGAGAGGTGACAACGTGCTGGCAGCCCTTGCTCACTCTCTGTGCCTCCTCCACCTTGGCCTCTGCTCTGACCATGCTTGAGGAGCCCTTCACCCACTGCTGCACTGTGGGAGCCCCTATCTGGGCTGGCCAAGGCTGGAGCCGACTCCCTCTGCTTGCGGGGAGTTGTGGAGGGAGAAGCGCTGGCAGGAACCAGAGACCTGCCCAGTGCTCGAGGGCCAGCATGAGTTCTGGCTGGGTGTGGGTTTGCTGGGCCTGCACTCAGAGCAGTCAGCCTGCCACACTGGGGGGCAGTGAGGGGTGTAGCACCTGGGCCAGCAGCTGCAGAGGGGGTGCTGGGTCTCCCAGCACTGCTGCCCCACCTGCACCATGCTCGAATTCTTGCCAGGCTTCAGTCACCTCCCCTGGGGCAGGGATCAGGACCTGCAGCCCGCCATGCCTGAGCCCCCCTCCATGGTGGGCTGCAACACCACCAAAGACTCCCGGATGGGTGCCACCCCTCCTCCATGACACCTGGTCCAATCGACTGCCCAAGGGCTGAGGAGTGCAGGCATGTGGCACCGGACTGGTGGGTAGTTCTGCCTGTGGCCCTGGCGCAGGATCCACTAGGTGAAGCCAGCTGGGCTCCTGAGTTGGGTGGGGACTTGGAGAACTTTTATGTCTAGTGGAGGATTGTATATGCACCAATCAGCACCCTGTGTCTAGCTTGGGGTTTGTGGATGCACCAATCAGCACTCTGAATCTAGCTAACCTGGTAGGGACTTGGAGAAATTTTATATCTAGCTAAAGGATTGTATATGCACCAATCTGCACTCTGGGTCTAGCTCAAGGTTTGTAAATACACCAATCACTGCTCTGTGTCTAGCTAATCTAGTGGGGACTTGTAGAACTTTTATGTCTAGCTAAAGGATTGTAAGTACAACAATCAGCACTCTCTGTCTAGCTCAAGGTTTGTAAACACACCAATCAGCACCCTGTGTCTAGCTCAAGGTTTGTAAATGCACCAGTCAGTGCTCTGCATCTAGTTAATTTAGTGGGGACTTGGAGAAATTTTACTCTAGCTAGAGGATTGTAAATACACCAATCAGCACTGAGTATAGCTCAGGGATTGTAAACGCACAAATCAGCACCCTGTCAAACTGGACCAATCAGCTCTCTGTAAAGTGGACCAATCAGCTCTCTGTAAAATGGGCCAATCAGCAGGATGTGGGTGGGGTCAGATAAGGGAATAAAAGCAGGCTACCCAAGCCACCAGCAGCAATGCCACCGGGTCCACTTCCACACTGTGGAAGGTTTGTTCTTTCACTCTTAGCAATGAATCTTGCAATTGCTCACTCTTTGGGTCCACACTGCCTTTATGAGCTGTAACACTCACGATGAAGGTCTGCAGCTTCACTCCTGAGGCCAGCGAGAACACAAACCCACTGGGAGGAATGAACAACTCCAGACGGGAGAAAGGAACAACTCCAGACGCGCTGCCTTAGGAGCTGTAACACTCACCACGAAGGTCTGCCGCTTCACTCCTGAAGCCAGTGAGACCATGAACCCACCGGAAGGAACAAACTCTGAACATGTCTAAACATCAGAAGGAACAAACTCTGGATACAGCATATTTAAGAAGTGTAACACTCACCGCGAGGGTTGGTGGCTTCATTTTTGAAATCAGTGAGCCAAGAACCTGCCAATTTCGGTCACAGGAGCAGTGACTTCCTTTTTGCTATTTTCTCCAAGGTGACACCTAGATCAAATCCAACACCATGTTTGGTCCAGTTGTTGCTAGCCAGCTTTGCCCACACTCTGGTTTTTCAGTCTTATCAGCTTCTGGTTTATGCAGCTACGTTAACAGTGTGTTATTTCTAGTCATGTTTGCTGCCTGAAATTTTCTATTCTGCTGCAATCACTTTTTGTTTTTCCTTCTCTAATTATGTGACTTGCTCATTTTTCTTCTCAGGACACTATAGGTTGTTCTTTAGCTGATTTTTTAAAAAGAGCATTGGTAAACCTGTTTCATTTCCTTCAAATACATCTGAGAATTCTTGAGAAACTTAAGCATGTCTCACTGGACTGGACCACTGCCCACTCGGCTGCCTGCTATTGACTTCCTTCTTTAGATAAGATCCCCCAGACAGCAAATGCATGCCCCCCCACACCACACTCCCACTAAATACCAATATCCAATGTAATGAAATATTTTAAGTCTTAGATATAGCATAAAGGGATTGTAGGATACAAAACGACAAATCAGACACATATATTAAGAAAGAAAAATTCAGCCAGTATCAGTCTTTGACAACAAAATTAACCATTTTAACTATACAGTATAAATGTATTTACAAATAAAGTGTATGCCTTTATTAAGTGAATTGTTTCTTGCATTGTATATACTTTGTCTAGTGGTGTCTTAGGCACTCATTTAAAATAGGTCATTGATTGAATTGGAGCTGTAATCCATAATGAAAATAGAGTAGAAAAGTTTTTTTTTTTTAAATCATATGTATATATTGTTTGGTCTTCCAGGTATACCATTTCTTTTGCATGTGTGGATATGTGTCTATGTAATTTTAGATACTTATAGGGAATAGATTTAGCACAAGTAATTAAAAATTAAGCAGATTTTCTTTGTAATGAAAAAGGAAATGATTAACTTTAATTGAATTTTTAGTGCAACAGTAAAACTGGATAAGAATTTATTCTGCTCAGGGAAAAGATATACTGTGGTTTGCAACTGAAAGAGTTCTCTCCTGAGTAAGCCAGTGTTGGCCTATACTGCAGAAATAGATTGTTTTTGGTAGACCCTATAGTCAGCTACCCTATAGTCAGCAGAGAAGGAAATCCTTGTAGAGAGAATTTTAAATTGAATATCAAATATTCTTTCATGTAGGTGAAGCATTCACATATGATATTATTTTACATTCAGCATAATTATAAAAGTTAATTTTAATACATTGGAAAAAATAAAGCAATTACAAAAATTAGCAAGATAATTGTATATTCCTCCTTTAAAAATTTTAGCCTATTCAAATCTAACAAGTCCACTCTGAAATACCTGAAAATAAGATATGAAATGAATAAGAAAAGAAAATACAGCAGAATGTACCAGATGTTATGTGTTCGGTGTTGGATGTACATATATCTGTTAGTTTTTAGTGGCAGACAGAGTGCAGTCTACATAATTTTATTCATAGTAGATGCCTATCCATCATATATTCACTAATAAATATTATTTCTCTGAAGATTGAAATAGAAAGCTAGGAAAACAACATGGCACAAAAGCCGAATTATATTTAAGCAATTGTGAATTATATAGTTAAATAATCTCTTCGAGGGTCTTCTTATCACTCTCTCACTGGGTAGTCTAAGGATTAATTAGTCTAAGTTCCTAGGCTCTTTCAAGCTAAGAAACACTGTGTATGTGCTATGCATTATCATGGTAACATGAGAGTGAGGCATAAGTGATTTGTAACAATATGGGCTCTGTGAAATGTGTGTCTAGCCTGAAAACTGTCGTTTTCTCTAACAGGGTTTTATGAATTGGAAAGTTCTTATCATATTTGAAGATGAAATGTCCTGTATTGAAATCAGGCAAATCCACTTAATCTTTGTTCTATATATTAGTAGAGTGATGTTTCTCAAAATAGAAGAAAACTTGGGATATGATTTCAAAGGTAATATATAATAAGGTAGAATTTTGACAACAATTATAACTTGTCTATTATCATTTGATTGACTCAGCTGTTGCTCTGTTAATTAGTGCAACTGAAGTCTAGTTAATTTGCATAAAAGTAGCTATCCCATCTTTTATAATTTTAAAGACAGTCAGGAGAGTATTCACTGGTTCTGTAAAGCTTGTATAGATTTTATCAACATGTTTCAATTACGTATGACTGAAATAATGCCAATTCTAAAATGTAATTTATTATTTCCTTTAAGAATATTTTTATTTTATTTTTTATTTTCATTTTTATTATAGATTCAGAGAGTACATGTGCAGGCTTGTTAGAAAGTATATTGCATGATGCTGACATTTAGTCTTCTATTGATCCCATCACCCAGAGAGTGAATCTAGTACTCAACAGGAAGGTTTTCAGGCCCTGCCTGTCTCCCTTTGGAGTCTCCAGTGTCTATAGTTCTCATCTTTATTTTTCTGTGCACCCAAGTTTTATCTCCTATGTATGAGAATATTCAATATTTGATTTTCTGTTTCTCCATTATTTTGCTTAGGTTAATGACCTCCAGCTGTATCCACATTGCTGCAAGTGACATGATTTTGTTCTTTTAATGGCTGTGTACTATTCCAGGGTTCATATGTACCACATTGTCATTGTCCCATCCTCCATGGATGTGCTCCTAGGTTTATTCTATGTCTTTGCTATGGTGGTGAATATGAGAATTCTTGTGTCTTTTTGGTAGCTTTAATAATTTATTTTCATTTGAGCATATACACAGTAATGGGATTGCTGGGTGAAATACTAGCTCTATTGTTAGTTCTTTTAGAAATCCACAAACTGCTTTCCACAGTGGCTGAACATTCTCTCCAGCAGTGTATAAGTATTATTTTTCCTCCACAGCCTTGCCCACATATGTTGTTTTTTAATTTTGTTTTTTTAATAATAATACTCATGCTGACTGGTATGAGATGGTACCTTATTGTGACTTTGATTTGCATTTCTCTGATGATCAGTGATGTTGAGCAGTTTTCTTATGTTTCTTGTCCACTTGCATATCTTAAGAAGATATTTTAAATAAACATACAATTATTTCCTCTACTCATAGATCAAATTCTGCCAGTGTCTTTCTCTCTTATTCTACTACATGAATTTACATGGATAATGAGTCAAAAAATGTGAAGTGCTGGTAATACATTTTATTTCTTTTTTTTTCACTCTTTTTTTATTATACCTTAAGTTCTAGGGTACATGTGCACAACGTGCAAGTTTGTTACATATGTATACATCTGCCAAATTGGTATGCTGCACCCATTATCTCATCATTTACATTATGTATATTTCCTTATGCTATCCCTCCCCCCTCCACCCACCAAACAACAGGCCCCGGTGTGGATGTTCCCCTTCCTGTATCCAAGTGTTCTCATTGTTCAATTCCCACCTATGCGTGAGAACATGTGGTGTTTAGTTTTTTCTCGTTGTGATAGTTTGCTGAGAATGATGGTTTCCAGCTTCATGCATGTCCCTACAAAGGACAGGAACTCATCTTTTTTATGGCTGCATAGTATTCCATGGTGTATATGTGCCACATTTTCTCAATCCAGTCTATCACTGATGGACATTTGTGTTGGTTCCAAGTCTTTGCTATTGCCAATATTGCTGCATATAACATACCTGTGCATGTGTCTTTATAGCAGCATGAATTATAATCTTCTGGGTATATACCTAGTAATGGGATGGCTGGGTCAATTGGTATCTCTAGTTCTAGATCCTTGAGGAATCGTCACACTGTCTTCCACAATGGTTGAACTAGTTTACAGTCCCACCAACAGTGTAAAAGTGTTCCTATTTCTCCACATCCTCTCCAGCACCTGTTGTTTCCTGACTTTTTAATGATTGCCATTCTAACTGGTGTGAGGTGGTATCTCATTGTGGTTTTGATTTGCATTTCTCTGATGGCCAGGGATGATGAGCATTTTTTCATGTGTCTGTTGGCTGCATACATGTCTTCTTTTGAGAAGTGTCTGTTCATATCTTTCACCCACTTTTTGATGGGGCTGTTTGTTTTTTTCTTGTAAATTTGTTTAAGTTCTTTGTAGATTCTGGATATTAGCCCTTTGTCAGAGGAGTAGGTTGCAAAAATTTTCTCCCATTCTGTAGGTTGCCTGCTCACTCTGATGGTCATTTCTTTTGCTGTGCAGAAGCTCTTTCATTTAATTAGATCCCATTTGTCAATTTTGGCTTTTGTTGCCATTGCTGTTGACGTTTTAGTCATGAACTCCTTGCCCATGCCTATGTCCTGAATGGTTTTGCCTAGGTTTTCTTCTAGGTTTTTTATGGTTTTAGGTATAACTTTTAAATCTTTAATCCATCTTAAATTAATTTTTGAATAAGGTGTAAGGAAAGGATCCAGTTTCAGTTTTCTATGTATGGCTAACAAGTTTTCCCAGCACCATTTATTAAATAGGTAATCCTTTCCCTATTTCTTGTTTTTGTCATGTTTGTTAAAGATCAGATGGCTGTAGATGTGTGGTATTATTTCTGAGGTCTCTGTTCTCTTCCATTGGTATAAATCTCTTTGGTACCAGTACCATGCTGTTTTGGCTATTGTAGCTTTGTAGTATAGTTTGAAGTCAGGTAGAGTGATGCCTCCAGCTTTGTTCTTTTGGCTTAGGATTGACTTGGCAATACGGGCTCTTTTTTGGTTCCATATGAACTTGAAAGTAGTTTTTTTCCAATTCTGTGAAGAAAGAAAGTCGTTGGTAGCTTGATGGTGATGGCATTGAATCTATAAATGACCTTGGGCAGTATGGCCATTTTCACAATATTTATTCTTCCTATCCGTGATCATGGAATGTTCTTCCATGTGTTTGTGTCCTCTTTTATTTCGTTGAGCATAGGTTTGTAGTTCTCTTTGAAGATGTCCTTCGCATCCCTTGTAAGTTGGATTCCTAGGTATTTTATTCGCTTTGAAGTAATTGTGAATGGGATTTCACTCAGGATTTTGCTCTCTGTTTGTGCGTTATTGGTGTATAAGGGTGCTTATGATTTTTGCACATTCATTTTGTATTCTGAGACTTTGCTGAAGTTGCTTATCAGCTTAAGCAGATTTTGGGCTGAGACCCTGGGGTTTTCTAGATATACAGTCATGTCATTTGCAGACAGGGACAATTTGACTTCCTCTTTTCCTAATTGAATATCTTTTATTTCTTTCTCCTGCCTGATTGCCATGGCCAGAACTTCCAACACTATGTTGAATAGGAGTGGTGAAAGAGGGCATCACTCTCTTGTGCCAGTTTTCAAAGGGAATGCTTCCACTTTTTGCCCATTCAGTATGATATTGGCTGTGAGGTTGTCATAAATAACTCTTATTACTTTGAAATATCTTCCATCAATAACTAGTTTATTGAGAGTTTTTAGCACTAAGTGCTGTTGAATTTTGTCGAAGTCCTTTTCTGCATCTATTGAGATAATCATGTGGTTTTTGTCTTTGGTTCTGTTTATGTGATGGATTACATTTATTGATTTGCATATGTTGAACCAGCCTTGCATTCAGGGATGAAGCCCACTTGATCACAGTGGATAAGCTTTTTGATTTGCTGCTGGATTCTGTTTGCCAGTACTTTATTGAGGATTTTTACATTGATGTTCATCAGGGATATTGGTCTAAATTTTTTCTTTTTTTTGTTGGGTCTCTGCCAGGCTTTTGTGTCAGGATGATGCTGGCCTCATAAAATGAGTTAAGGAGGATTCCCTCTTTTTCTATTGATTGGAATAGTTTCAGAAGGAATGGTACCAGCTCCTCCTTGTACCTCTGGTAGAATTCGGCTGTGAATCCATCTGGTCCTGGACATTTTTTTGGTTGGTAAGCTATTAATTATTGCCTCAATTTCAGAGCCTGTTTTTGGTCTATTCAGAGATTCAACTTCTTCCTTGTTTGGTCTTGGGAGACAGTATGTGTCTAGGAATTTATCCATTTCTTCCAGATTTTCTAGTTTATTTTTGTAGAGGTGTTTATAGTATTCTCTGACAGTAGTTTCTATTTCTGTGGGATCAGTGGTGATATCTCCTTTATCATTTTTTATCGCATCTACTTGATTCTTTCTCTTTTCTTCTTTATTAGTCTTCCTAGTGGTCTATCAATTCTGTTGATCTTCTCAAAAAACCAGCTCCTGGATTCATTGATTTTTTGAAGGGTTTTTTTGTGTCTCTATCCCTTTCAGTTATGCTCTGATCTTAGTTATTTCTTGCCTTCTGCTAGCTTTTGAATGTATTTGCTCTTGTTTCTCTAGTTCTTCTAATTGTGATGTTAGGGTGTCAATTTTAGATCTCTCCTGCTTTCTCTTGTGGGCATTTAGTGCTATGCATTTCCCTCTACACACTGCTTTAAATGTGTCCCAGAGATTCTGGTATGTTGTGTCTTTGTTCTCATTGGTTTCAAAGAACATTTATGTCTGACTTCGTTTTGTTGTTTACCCAGTAGTCATTCAGGAGCAGGTTGTTCAGTTTCCATGTAGCTGAGAAGTTTTGAGTGAGATTCTTAATCCTGAGTTCTAGTTTGATTGCACTGTGGTCTGAGAGACAGTATGTTATAATTTCTATTCTTTTACATTTGCTGAGGATTGCTTTACTTCCAACAGAGTGGTCAATTTTGGAATAAGTGCTATGTGGTGCTGAGAAGAATGTATATTCTGTTGATTTGGGTTGGAGAGTTCTGTAGATGTCTATTAGGTCTGCTTGGTGCAGAGCTGAGTTCAATTCCTGGATATCCTTGTTAACTTTCTGTCATGTTGATCTGTCTAATGTTGACAGTGGGGTGTTAAAGTCTCCCATTATTATTATGTGGGAGTCTAAATCTCTTTGTAAGTCTCTAAGGATTTGCTTTATGAATCTGGGTGCTACTGTATTGGGTGTATATATATTTAAGGTAGTTAGCTCTTCTTGTTGAATTGATCCCTTTACCGTTATGTAATGGCCTTCTTTGTATCTTCTGGTCTTTGTTGGTTTAAAGTCTGTTTTATCAGAGACTAGGATTGCAACCCATGCCTTTTTTTTGTTTTCCATTTGCTTGGCAGATCTTCCTCCATCCCTTTACTTTGAGTCTATGTGTGTCTCTGCACGTGAGATGGGTCCCCTGAATACAGCATCCTGATGGGTCTTGACTCTTTATCCAATTTGCCAGTCTGTGTCTTTTAATTGGAGCATGTAACCCATTTACATTTAAAGTTAATATTGTTATATGTGAATTTTATCCTGTCATTATGATATTAGCTGGTTATTTTGCTTGTTACCTGATGCAGTTTCTTCCTAGCATCAATGGTCTTTACAATTTGGCATGTTTTTGCAGTAGCTGGTACTGGTCATTCCTTTCCATGTTTAGTGCTTCCTTCCGGAGCTCTTGTAGGGCAGGCCTGCTGGTGACAAAATCTCTCAGCATTCGCTTGTCTGTAAAGGATTTTATTTCTCCTTCACTTATGAAGCTTAGTTTGGCTGGATATGAAATTCTGGGTAGAAAATTCTTTTCTTTAAGAAAGTTGAATATTGGCCCCCACTCCCTACTGGCTTGTAGAGTTTCTGCCAAGAGATCAGCTGTTAGTCTGATGGGCTTCCCTTTGTGGGTAACCTGACCTTTCTCTCTGGCTGCCCTTAACATTTTTTCCTTCATTTCCACTTTGGTGAATCTGACAATTATGTGTCTTGGAGTTGCTTTTCTCAAGGAGTATCTTTGTGGCATTCTCTGTATTTTGTGAATTTGAATGTTGCCCTGCCTTGCTAGTTTGGGGAAATTTTCCTGGATAATATCCGGCAGAGTGTTTTCCAACTTGGTTCCATTCTCCCCATCACTTTCAGGTACACCAATCAGATGTAGATTTGGTCTTTTCACATAGTCCCATATTTCTTAGAGGCTTTGTTTATTTCTTTTTACTCTTTTTTCTGTAAACTTCTCTTCTCACTTCATTTCATTCATTTTATCTTCAATCACTGATAGACTTTCTTCCTGTTGATCAAATCGACTATTGAAGCTTGTATATTAATCATGTAGTACTTGTGCCATGGTTTTCAGCTCCATCAGATCATTTAAGGACTTCTCTACATTGGTTATTCTAGTTAACCATTCATCTAATCTTTTTTCAAGGTTTTTAGCTTCTTTGTGATGCTTTCAAACTTCCTCCTGTAGCTCAGAGAAGTTTGATCATCTGAAGTCTTCTTCTCTCAACTCATCAAAGTCATTCTCTATCCAGCTTAGTTTCATTGCTGGTGAGGAGCTGCATTCCTTTGGAGGGGGAGAGATGCTTTGAATTTTACAATTTTCAGCTTTTCTTCTCTGTTTTTTTTCTCCATTTTTGTGGTTCTACCTTTGGTCTTTGATGATGGTGATGTACACATAGGGTTTTGGTGTGGATGCCATTTCTGTTGTTTGTTTTCCTTCTACCAGTCAGGACCCTCTGCTGCAGGTCTGTTGGAGTTTGCTGGAGGTCCACTCCAGACACTGTTTTCCTGGTTACCAGCAGCAGAGGCTTCAGAACAGCGAATATTGCTGAACAGCAAGTGTTGCTGCCTGATCGTTCCTCTGGAAGCTTCATCTCCAAGGGGTACCTGGCTGTGTGAGGTGTCAGTCTGCCCCTACTGGGTGATGCCTCCCAGTTAGGCTACTCTTGGGTCAGGGACCCACTTGAGGAGGCAGTCTGTCCGTTGTCAATTCTCAAACTCCATGCTGGGAGAACCACTACTCTCTTCAAAGCTGTCAGACAGAGACGTTTAAGTCTGCTGAGGTTTCTGCTGCCTTTTGTTTCACTATGTCCTGCCCCAAGAGGTAGAGTCTACAGAAGCAGGCAGGACTCCTTGAGCTGCAGTGGGCTCCACACAGTTTGAGCTTCCTGGCAACTTTGTCTACCTACTCAAGCCTCAGCAATGGTAGGTACCCCTCCTCTAGCCTCGCTGCCACCTTGCTGTTTGATCTCAGACTGCTGTGCTAGCAATGAGTGAGGTTCTGTGGGCATGGGACTCTCAAAACTATGTGTGGGATATAATCTCCTGGTTTGCCGTTTGCTAAGACCATTGGAAAACTGTGGTATTAAGGTGGGAGTGACTTGATTTTCCAGGTGCCATCTGTCACAGCTTTGCTTAGCTAGGAAAGGGAATTCCCTGGCCCCTTGCACTTCCTGGGTGAGGTAATGCCTAGCCCTGCTTTGCCTCACACTTGGTGCAGTGCACTCACTGTCCTGCACCCACTGTCCAACAAGCCCCGGTGAGATGAACCTGGTACATCATTTGGAAATGCAAACATCACCTGTTTTCTGTGTCACTCATGTTGGGAGCTGTAGACTAGAGCTGTTCCTATTCAGCAATCTTGTTATTTCATACTTATAAATGTAAAATGTTTTTCTTTGAAAGATACCACATTATCCAATTTTTACTTTTTTAAAATTCTTTCAAAGCGGCAATGGGGACAGGGAAATTTTAAAGCAAGTACTTCACAAGATGATTCCAATTTATATGGAATATTGTTCATTATAAAATTATTTTGTTTTTGAGTAAAATCAAAATATATATGCAAATACGAAATAATATAATAAATACTAATTTAACCCCACTTAAAAATAACAGCTATTATTGCATTCTTTGTTCTATTTAAATTACCTCTGGTTCTAATTGGAATACATCCCATCAGGTTCATTTGCCTTTCTCTATTTCCAGAGTCGCCATTATCATGAGCCTGGTTTTACCTTTATATTTTTATACATTAAGATATGTATTTCTAAATAATACTGGTGTTTCATGAGCTTTTAATGTTTATGTGAATATATAAGGTGTGTATTAGTTCACATTTTTTTGTTAACATTCTTATTGAGAGCTGCCATTATTGATGGCATAGTTCTCAATCTACTGAATTTTATCATGTTCCATGATGTGCTTATTGAAATGCTCCAATGAAAAACCTTCCCTGTGCCTCTGGGTACACATGTATGAGAGTTTCTAATGAGTATACTAGAAGAATGGCTGGACTGCAGTGTGCATACAGTTTTAATTTTGAGGGGATGAAATATTCTTATTAGCTCCCAGGACTACCACTTTATTATTGTTGTTAATCCCTGCTAACTGGCTTAACATATGTCTTAGATTTTTCATTTTTAATGAAGTATTATTATAAGTTACATTGGTTAGAACCAGCATGTGTTTGTTAAATGTTCATTTTGTTTAATAATTATAGCTATTGTCAGGGCTCTATCAGTATGTGAGGAAAATAAAATATTAACAGAATGATGACTTGAGTTGGGGGATAAGTGTGAAAATCAACTTTATTTTCCTAACAGTTTATACAAAACATAGTTAATGCTTCTTTTTCAAGTACAGCTTGCAGCAGAATGCTTGACAATAAATCAATATACGCTGAGTCAGTATTGGCTAGTAATGGCTAGCTTCTTCCAACCTTGCCTGGTGATGGAAGAAGTATTTAACATAGTTTTTTGTTTGTTTGTTTTTTCTATATGGTTCACTTATGTGACACTGCCAGATCATCATATGGTGGGTTTGGGGAAAATGAAGGAAACAATGAGCTAGATATATGTAAATTATGTGCTAGAAATAGAAGCTTAGCACAGGCAGAGTAGTAACTGGTCTGGCCACAGGGGTTTTGTCATCTCTCATATACCTACAACTATTTATTTATGGGCTATTTTCTAATGATTTTTTTAAAAATCTGCTTCAGCAGCAATGACTAAAAAATGCAAGTAGATATTTAATTAAAAACAACTCAATTTCCTTTCCAATCAAATTATGGGTTGAAACATACCTATAAACACATGGTGTAATCATTAAGCCTTGTATTCTGTGATTGGGACCACAGGCTAAAAGTGATATCCGGAAATCCAGAATATAGAAGGCTGAGAGGAAAAACCAGCTGCTACTTCAAAAGGTAATACTTAGTTACATCAAGAAAACTATGCCTGAAGATCACATTTTCACAGATTTAATATGTGAATATGGAAAACTAAACATATAATTCTGAGATTGTTGGCTTTTTATTTACAACAAATTACTATATTTTAAAATCAATTGTGTACATTTTTTAATTCTAATTTTTCTGCACTTAAGAAATATGCATCAGTAATTTTAATATATTAGCTCCATTAGCTACCGAAGAAATTCTAAAAGAGTTGAATAATGCCATTTAGATGTTTCAAACATAAAATTGGATTAAAAAATGGTTTGAATTTTTAATCAATCATTGGAACCGAAGTAATGCTGTTGAAATATTATTGTGTCAGAAAAAAAGAGAACATTGAATAATATGATAATTTTTTTAAAGTTCACTTGAAAAGCTAAACATTGTTGATAAAATTTATTGGTGACAAAGATAAGTAAACTTTGGAAAAGCTTACAAGTAACTTTATTTAAAAATCAATATAATATTCAAACAAATGCATTTTCCAGAAAAGAACTACAGATAATTTTGTTAAGAAACAGATTAATACTTATAAATATGTTCTAGAATTATTATTCTGTCTCTTATTTGTAATATTTCAATAATAAATATAAAGAAGTTATTTTTTCTGTTTTGCCTCAGGCTATATAATTGTAGATTTAAATTTTTGAAGGGATTTCATTTCCAAAAATAGTTGGAAGGTACCTATTTCATAGGTCCATTGATATAGTAAAAGAAATTGCCTGTAAGGAAATAACATAATAAATATTAAATAATTTTGCATATGTTAGTACTCTTTTATTCTAAAGAAAGTTTCCTAGGGAACAATAAATATTTTATTCACCTTAATTTTACTGAATATCATTAGATAGTGGGACTTGTGATTGATGGAACCAAATTACCATTCCTTACATCCTTGACTACACTCGGTGTTATTTTAATAGTGGCCAAGCAAATTAACAAAAGTTGGAATGTAATGTGGTTTTGATTTATATCCCTGGATTACAAATGAGCTCAAGCATCTAGCCATTTTTCATTGGTCATTTGACTTTCTTCTTTTCTAAAATGTATTTACCTGTCCTGCTTTCTTCTACTGGGCTAGATTGTCTTTATATTTTCTTTTCTAGTTATTTTGAGTTTTTTGGACACTGGTAATTTTATGTATGTTTTTCTTATTGATTTTCTGAAGTTTTATAAACCCCCAATATAATTTTTAAAATTTAAGATCTGAAGATTTTCAAAAAGCTAACTCAGAAGTCATTTGTGGCCATAATGTTAACTTCTAATGAAAAAAATAATTTTGAAACTTTAGCAAAACATACTTTAAAGATACCAATTAGAAAGCACTGAAGTGCTCAATTCTATCTTTTTAATAAAATTTGCATTTAAATAGTCAATTCAACAAAATACTTTACCCTTATAGTAAGAACCAATTATTAAATGTTGATTACCTATCTCCTGCATGGTTTTCTAAATATTTCACAATTGTCATTTTGGTAACAATCACTTAGCATATTTGTTAGAATTGCTGGTTTTCCAGGTCTCATCTCAAATGATTGAACCAGGATTTTGAAGCAAAATAATGAGAAATATCAGGATATATATTTTATGACCCACATAATTATTTGCGGATATTTGTGAAACTCTGGTCTGACACATAAAATAAAACAACAACAACAACAGCAATGGAAAGAAAACAATCAAACAAAGAACATCAAGTCAGGAATACATACCTTACAGTCTCCTCACTCCCTACTTCTCAAGTCATATGCCCCTGTCTTCTTTCTCATTCTTGGTAAATACTACTCCATCTATGTAGCACTTCACAGGAGTAATTAACCTGCTAGTTTGCAATTTAGCAAAAAGTAAGAAACCTATTTCTGAACATTTTCTTTAGGAACATGGTTCTTGCTATACACTGTGTGTCAGTTAATGCTATGGATAGATATAAAATAGCAGTATTTAACAAAAATATTTGACCACTGTGGCAAAATTACCTTCCGTAAATGATCCACTGCTACTAAGATTACATTTACATTTTGGAGAATGTGCTGACATTTTGAATTTCACATATTCATGGGAGATTGGAAAGTGTCTTCAGATGTCAGTGTTTATAATGTTGAGTTAATAGTTGTATTAACCTCAAAATTTTTCTCTATTAAAGCGGTGTGCAGGTATTGGATAAACAGGTATGCCACTGAAGCATAGCTGTGGCTAAAGTTGTAAAAGTTTTTGTGAAATTGCACAAGACAACATCTCCACAGCAAATTTAGATTTTTGGCTCACATGGGTGATGTTTGAGAAAAGGACATTTTTTATTCTTAATGATTTCCCAGATGGTCCTTAAAGCGAGATAACACAATACTGTGGAAAGAGGCAATTCTGTAATCTGACATTAGACTTTAAGATATGCTAACTATTTTGAGAGCCAAATTTCAGAAGTATGAAGTGGGGTCTAAAATATCTTGTACCTGTGTGTAGAGTTATAAAGATAATATAATAATAATAGATCCTGTTTGCCTTGTGCTTTTCTGTAAAACAAAGTCATCATTTAACTTTGTTACTTAGTATAGCTTCGTGTGGGCATTTTTTTAAGGAACATTTATATTGTGATAAAGAAAACAGTAATACTGGCACAAAATGGTACTTACTCCAACATTGACTTTGAAGAGTTCCAGCTGTTCTGTAAAGAAACTGATGTGAATTAAAAAAGAAATTGGATGATTGAAGATTGTTAAGGGGCAAGTCTTTATTTACCGAGAAAAATTTTCAGGGAGGACACACAGCCTGTGAAGTGTTGGATGTGAAGGATGAAGACCCATCAAGAAGAGGCTACCTCAAGGATCATCCTCTACATTTCTAGCTTGAAATACAACATATATAGTGCTGTGAATTTCTGAAATAGTGGAATACTGTAGAGGGAAACACGTTTGGAGGATGAAATGTAATATAATTAAAATAATCCTTACTAACCATTAGAGACAGGTTTCACTATGTTGGCCAGGATGGTCTTGATCTCTTGACCTCGTGATCCACCCATCTCAGCCTCCCAAAGTCCTGTGATTACAAGCCTGAGCCTCCACACCTGGTTAAAATTTTTATTTTTTATTAAAGCCTTTTAAACCTTATTAACAGTATTTTTCTGATATTATAAACTATTCTCTAATATTTTCTTCTAGCAATTTGGCAGCTTTGGTTTTTACATGTATTTTTAAAATCATTGTCCATGGGGTCTTCTGTATATCATGACATAAAGATTTATTTTTATATGTGTTTAACAAATGTGTTTAGTCCATTTTGCCTTCAATTTTCTTCTTAGGATATTATTGAATAGTGCATTACTTCAGCATTGCTTAGACTGCAACTTCTGTCATAATAGTGTATTTACTTCCAGGTTACTTCTATTTGCAATAGATTTTTACATACTATAATATTTAGAAACAGCTGTATGGAAGTGTTCACTATTAAGCAGAGTCCTCAGCCGGACGCGGTGGCTCATGCCTGTAAACCCACCACTCTGGGTGGCCAAGGGGAATGGATCACAAGGTCAGGAGTTCGAGAACAGCCTGGCCAACATGGTGAAACTAAGTCTCTACTAAAATTACAAAAACAAGCCAGGCATTGTGGCAGACAAAACCCAGTTACTCGGCAGGCTGAGGCAGGAGTGTCACTTGAAACCAGAAGGTGGAGGTGCAGTGAGCTGAGATTGGGTGACAACACTCCAGCCTGGGCAACAAAAGCAAAACTCCTTCTCAAAAATAAATAAATAAATAAATAAATAAATAAATAAATAAATAAATAAGTCCTCTTTTCCATCTTCCTCTTCAATACCATTGTTTTCCCACGCTTACTGCAAATTCGCCTAGATGAGTCCCATCCCTTTTCAATTCTGTATTTAGAATTAGCTTGTCAACATACAAGCATCTTGCTGTAATTTTTATTATTATTGCCTGAAGTTATGTATTAATTAATTTATATATTAATATAGAAAGAGACTTCTTATCATGTGAAGATATTTTAACAATTGCCTAGCACACATTTTTATGTATATTTTGACTTCCATTTATGATGCCCTTCAATAAAATTTAGTACTTTTCCTTGAAAATTTTTGTGTTTTTTTATACCATTTATTTTTATATGGCTCATAATTTTGTTTGTTCTCATAAATTCTATCAATTGTAATTAAATTCTAATCATATTGGTTAGAATTTTAGGCGCACCTTACCTACATACTTAATTACTCAGTGTTTATGTTACCATTTACATTGTTATTTCTAGCTTAGGGATATGTTCCTCCTTATTAATTTCTTTACTCATCTTCTTGAATTTTCCCTTTTGTGTGAAATTTCCACTTTCCTGAAACTTAACCTTAAGAAATTATTTCAGCAAACAAACTGTTTGTACTACATCCTTTCAATTTTGTATATCATAAAGTATCTTTATTTCAATACTCACATTTTAACTGTAGTTTTTAAAAATATATTATTTTAGATTATGGCTTGACAAAACCCTGCTTGTTTATGTTTAATTGTTGCTTTTTAGAAACTTCTTGCTAGTGGAAATGCCATTCAGGTATAGGAAATTTGTCATTATTTCTAGTACCCTTTAAGATAATTTCATTATATTTGGTATCTATTTAGGGTGTTTTTGTTTGTTTGTTTTGGAGGAGAACAATAAAGCTCTACTCTCTAAGCAAGTTTGTTAAGTATACGGTATAGTATTGGTGACTGTAGTCACCACAGGGGAATGTTTTCATGAGCTATGAGTGAAGTCCCAGCTGTCAAGACTTGTGGCATATAATGAGATTCCCTCTCCAGATGTCTCAGATCTGTAATGGTATAGCTTATTTCTCCCAGCATTAAATTTTTTTTTCAAAAAAACAATAGTTACAGCCAATGTGGAACTTTTGTACTCTACCTGATGTCTGCAAATGTGTATTATCTTGCACTCAATCTGAATGTTCTATATCATACCTATTATCTAATTTTCACTACCACTCTCATAGCCTGTGACAGAGGATCAGTGCAGGGAGAAGCAGTGGCCATCCTCGCACTCAGCCCAATGTATCAAATGTAAATTATCTGAAAACAGTGTACTTACTTTGCAAATACTGCTTTAAGACATATCTCTTAGCATCTTATGTATATTCATTTAAGTTTAGCCCTAATGGATTTCCCAATGACATCGTGCAGACTTATTCTCTATTTCTGTTAAAAAAAATGTTAATTTAATTTTGGTTAGTTGTTATTCTGCCTGTATTTATTCTTTATTTTTAAAGAAAAACAAAAAACCCTTCAAAAAATTAATGAATCCAGGAGCTGGTTTTTTGAAAAGATCAACAAAATTGATAGACAGCTAGCAAGACTATAAAGAAGAAAAGAGAGAAGAATCAAATAGATGTCATAAAAAATGATAATGGGGCTATCACCACTGATCCCACAGAAATACAAACTATGATCAGAGAATACTATAAACACCTCTATGCAAATAAACTAGAAAATCTAGAAGAAATGGATAAATTCCTCGACACATACATCCTCCCAAGACTAAACCAGGAAGAAGTTGAATCTCTGAATAGACCAATAACAGACTCTGAAATTGAGGCAATACTCAATAGCTTACCAACCAAAAAAAGTCCAGGACCAGATGGATTCACAGCCGAATTCTACCAGAGGTACAAGGAGGAACTGGTACCATTCCTTCTGAAACTATTCCAATCAATAGAAAAAGAGGGAATCCTCCCTAACTCATTTTATGAAGCCAGCATCATGCTGATACCAAAGCCTGGCAGAGACGCAATCAAAAAAGAGAATTTTAGACAAATATCCTTGATGAACATTGATGTAAAAATCCTCAATAAAATATTGGCAAACCGAATCCAGCAGCACATCAAAAAGCTTATTCACCATGATCAAGTGGGCTTCATCCCTGGGATGCAAAGCTCGTTCAACATATGCAAATCAATAAATGTAATCCAGCATATAAACAGAACCAAACACAAAAACCACATGATTATCTCAATAGATGCAGAAAAGGCATTTGACAAAATTCAACAACCCTTCATACTAAAAATTCTCAATAAATTAGGTAGTGATGGGACGTGTCTCAAAATAATAAGAGCTATCTATGACAATCCCACAGCCAATATTGTACTGAAAGGGCAAAAAGTGCAAGCATTCCCTTTGAAAACTGGCACAAGACAGGGATGCCCTCTCTCACCACTCCTATTCAACATAGTGTTGGAAGTTCTGGCAAGGGCAATCAGGCAGGAGAAGGAAATAAAGGGTATTCAATCAGGAAAAGAGGAAGTCAAATTGTCCCTGTTTGCAGATGACATGATTGTATATCTAGAAAACCCCATTGTCTCAGCCCAAAATCTCCTTAAGCTGATAAGCAAATTCAGCAAAGTCTCAGAATACAAAATCAATGTGCAAAATTCACAAGCATTCTTATACACAAATAACAGACAGCCAAATCATGAGTGAATTCCAATTCACAATTGGTTCAAAGAGAATAAAATACCTAGGAATCCAACCTACGAGGGATGTGAAGCACCTCTTCAAGGAGAACTACAAACTCAATGAAATAAAAGAGGATATACACCAATGGAAGAACATTCCATGTTCATGGGTAGGAAGAATCAATATCATGAAAAGGGCCATACTGCCTAAGGTAATTTATAGATTCAATGCCATCCCCATCAAACTACCAATGACTTTCTTCAGAGAATTGGTAAAAACTACTTTAAAGTTCATATGGAACCAAAAAAGAGCCTGCATCGCCAAGTCAATCCTAAGCCAAAAGAACAAAGCTGGAGGCATCACGCTACCTGACTTCAAACTATGCCACAAGGCTACAGTAACCAAAACAGCATGGTACTGGTACCAAAACAGAGATATAGACCAATGGAATAGAACAGAGCCCTCAGAAATAATGCCGCATATCTACAACTATCTGATCTTTGACAAACCTGACAAAAACAAGAAATGGGGAAAAGATTCCCTATTTAACAAGTGGTGCTGGGAAAATTGGCTAGCCATATGTAGAAAGCTGAAACTGGATCCCTTACTTACACCTTATACAAAAATTAATTCAACATGGATTAAAGACTTACATGTTAGATGTAAAACCATAAAAACCCTAGAAGAAAACCTAGGCAATACCTTTCAGGACATAGGCATGAGCAAGGACTTCATGTCTAAAACACCAAAAGCAATGGCAACAAAAGCCAAATTGACAAATAGGATCTAATTAAACTAAAGAGCTTCTGCACAGCAAAAGAAACTACTATCAGAGTGAACAGGCAACCTACAGAATGGGAGAAAATTTTTGCAACCTACTCATCTGACAAAGGGCTAACATCCAGAATCTACAATGAACACAAACAAGTTTACAAGAAAAAAACAAACAACCCCATCCAAAAGTGGGTGAAGGATATGAAGAGACACTTCTCAAAAGAAGACATTTATGCAGCCAAAAAACACATGAAAAAATGCTCATCATCACTGGCCATCACAGAAATGCAAATCAAAACCACACTGAGATACCATCTCACAGCAGTTAGAATTGTGATCATTAAAAGTCAGGAACCGAGCCAGGCACGGTGGCTCATGCCTGTAATCCCAGCACTGTGAAAGGCTGAGGCGGGCGGGCAGATCACGAAGTCAGGAGATTGATACCATCCTGGCTAACACGGTGAAACCCCGTTTCTACTTAAACTACAAAAAAATTAGCCGGGCTTGGTGGCTAGCACCTATAGTCCCAGCTACACGAGAGGCTGAGCCAGGAGAATGGTGTGGTGTGAACCCGGGAGGTGGAGCTTGCAGTGAGTGGAGATCGTGCGGCTGCACTCCAGCCTGGGCGACAGTGCTAGACTCCCTCTCAAAAAAAAAAAAAAAAAAAAAAAAAAAAACAGAAAAAGAAAAAGTCAGGAAACAACAGGTGCTGGAGAGGATGTGGAGAAATAGGAACACTTTTACACCGTTGGTGGGACTGTAAACTAGTTCGACCATTGTGGAAGTCAGTGTGGCATTTCCTCAGGGATCTAGAACTAGAAATACCATTTGACCCAGCCATCCCATTACTGGGTATATACCCAAAGGAGTATAAATCATGCTGCTATAAAGACACATGCACAGGTATGTTTATTGTGGCACTATTCACAATAGCAAAGACTTGGAACCAACCCAAATGTCCAAAAACGATAGACTGGATCAAGAAAATATGGCTCATATACACCATGGAATACTATGCAGCCATAAAAATTGATGAGTTCATGTCCTTTATAGGGACATGGATGAAACTGGAAACGATCATTCTCAGCAAACTATCGCAAGGACAAAAACCAAACACCGCATGTTCTCACTCATAGGTGCTAATTGAACAATGAGAACACATGGACACAGGAAGGGGAACATCACACACCGGGGACTGTTGTGGGGTGGGGAGAGAGGGGAGAGATAGCATTAGGAGATATACCTAATGCTAAATGACGAGTTAATGGGTGCAGCACACCAATATGGCACATGTATACATATGTAACAACCCTGCACGTTGTGCACATATACCCTAAAACTTAAAAGTATAATAATAATAAAATTTTAAAAAAAGAAAAAAACAAGACACAAGACAAATATTTTATGCACTTTACATAGAATTAACCCACTATGTCACTTAGAATGCCTGTGTATGTGTAGAAAAATTTGAGTTGCGTGCTCTTTTTTATTATATTGCCACTATGTCAACAGGTAAAACTTGTGTTCTTTTCCATTAATTAACAAAAATAATGCATGGGTATGGTTGTATCACTTTAAAACTCAAAACAACTTTATTTTATTTTAAAACATTCAATTTAATTTTGTGAAATCAGACATAGATTTTTAAATATCTTTAAATCAATTTGAAGTCATCTAACTTCTTTTAAATTCAATTAAGTATATTTTTTTGTTTGTTTTTCGATGGTCTCAAATCTTGCTCCATGTCATTTTCTCAGAGAAAATTAGTAACATAACATCAGCTTTACCAATTCAAAATTTTTAGTGCCTTACCTCTGCTTGATCTTAAAGTCTTAGCTCATTTTATTTGTAGTCTACACTGTCTTTATTTCAACTAAATTCTTGAAGATTTCAAAACTGAGTGGTTAAATAAATTAATTATCACCTATTTCTGTGGTGGAAAGACTCCTACTCAGGGCGCTGGAGATGATACCATTTCACGGTCTAAAGTTTCAAATCAAAGACAAACTAAATCAGGTTGAATTATTCAGTGCTTTTCATTGGCCACCTGACATTACGGTCCAATCAGTAACATTTTATAGCCTGTATGTTAGGTCAAAATAAGCATAAGGCATGGTTCAATTGGACTTCTAATTTAAAATGAGGAAAGAAGAAGGGAAGGAAGGAAGGAAGGAAGGGAAAAGGGGGCCATAAAAAGCTAAAGATAACTTAGAGCTTGTCATCAGCATGAACTCTGTTACTGTATTATTTCATTAAATAAAAAAGCCAAAATGTGTGCTATGCAGGAAGTGTAAATGGAAGTGGATCTCTGTTATCCATATATTATTCGTAGGTTCTGACTTCAACTGAATCAGTCAAACCCAGCTTGCACCGTATGGCATGACCTGATCATATTCCTGCAGCTTTTTAAACATGGTTCATTTTTTCTGTTTATGCCTTTATTTCTTCAGTGAGTTCCAGATAGTCTTATTGACTGTCAGTCTCTTATTCACTCTCAGTTGCTCAGTTTATTGTTTCTATGTTTATTTTTTTGGGGGGGAACTTTGTATTTTAGGAAACACCCCAGTGGCACGTGTCTATTTTCATTTTACTCTGGCACTAAGATTGTTGTAGGGCCATCAATCCTCTGTCTTTAGAATTATACATAACCTATGATTTACACACAGTTTGTCATCAAAAATTTGCATTCATTTTCGTTCAACATCTCTTTCCATTCACTAATTCACCTTCTTGTCTTCTGAATGCTTTTCCAATTGGACTTTGCCAGCCACCTCCACTTTCTAGGAAGAACTTTCTTTTTCAACAATGTAGATGAGACTGCTTTTCTAACTGCAGTGATGAATCTAATTGGAACTTCATAAATCTTTACAAAATTACAACTCAATACATTCATCGCCATCAGTGAGGTACCATTAAAACTATTTTTGTCAAAATAAATCTTGGTTTGGGATGGGCAGAGATGTGGGGATGGACTTTTCCAAAAGAGTACCATCACTTTGTTTCAGTTTTTAGAATACATTTTTGGGGGTGGTAGAGGGAATAACTGGACTTTTAATAAGTTGGAATAAAACAAACCATCATAATTTCAATCTATAATTGTAAAAACTTTGGAAGAACCAGTACCCTGAGTTTAAACTATAGTATCATTTTACAAAATTCCTCCTTTTGATAATATAGCATATTTCCTAAAAGGAAAGCTCTTTAGTCAGATGTATCCTGTATTTACAAATGGCTTTTGAGACTGGTGATTTTACACCAGCACTTACAGTAAGTAGAGTAGAATTATTACTTCCCTAGCTTTGTGTCTCTCTATATGTCAACATTGTGGGGGAAAGTCTTAAAAAATCAAAACTGATGACTCTAGAGGGAATCCCTCTAATGCCTCAGCTGTTATTAAGGCACCCCGATGGGAACACTTTAATGGCTCTTGACCATGGCCCTGCTTTCCTAGCCAATCTGCCCCCCTGGATATTCTGTAAGACAAGTATAGACTCTGTTAACTTTAACTCAGCAGCAAGGTACCTTTTTCTGGCTCCATAGTGCCTACTTAAAACAAAACAAAATGAAACAAAAACATACCAGGCTTATCTTGAATATTCTCAAATAAGGCCTCAGTTAAAACAGAAGACAGAAATTTGAGGCCAAATGAAACATTATGTTTTAATTCAGCAGAACTGTCTTCTATTTCTTTATAAGAAGTCATCAGTTGGTAATGAGAAACCTAGAAAAGTTGTGAAAATTAATTTGCTTCTACAAGAATATGCAATAAATCATCCTTTATAATTTTACTCAAAAGGTAGGAGAGTGATGGTCTGCATATCATCCAGTATTCTCTTCATTGCAATGAGGTTAAAAGATAGCATGAACAATAATGGTTAATACTATATTTACATTTTAACTAAAACGTTAAGGTTTACAATGCATTTTGTTTTACCCTGAAGTGGGTAGCCATTACTCCAACTGTATTAATTTGGATGTGTTTGAGGATTAAATCCATAATGTCTGGAACACAGTGTATAGTCATATCTTATTCTTCCTATCTTGTGGGTAGCTGATCCATAACATTTTGAAGAGTTTTGTCACGGATTCATGGGTATAAATGTGAAATAAGTGAAACTAGTATGTATCTTGAGTATCCTTTATTCTTGCTAGACACAATGTCATGGATGCAGTACCTCCCACAAAGTTTTATGGATCTCTTCTTCACTAATAAACTATGGCAGAGCTCCAAATTAGTAAAACTCCTCAGAGGAGTTCTACTTTGGGATTCCTGGAGCCTAGGTTTCTGTTCTTTCTACAAATTACGGATTCCATTATTTGGTGACAAATCATCTATTTAGTAGCAGTATGTGTTGAATGGTTGTGTAAAGTAAAACTAATAAGCTTTCTAGGATGGAAAATATTTAAAAAAAAAAGATTGTCAAATGAGTCTACTTTTAACAATGGTAACAGAAACTAGCAAGTGCATATGTTGAAGGCAATAACATGCAGAACCTTTTTGTGGTTTCAGAGGAAAAGATGGCAACCCAACCTCAGCATGATAGCGTGCTTAACTTCAGTAGGATAGTGTTTGTATTTTTAGGTACAGTGTAATTTCAACTTTTTTGGGTTGGTAATTACAATTAAGGTAGGTTCATGAATAATCCTTGATGAATGAAAATCAATATCTTATATATAAAAATGATACTACTAGTCATGTATTTAGGAATTACAAAATTTGTTCCCTACTGTCAGATATTCATTACCTACAATGAAAACTGTTAAAGAGCACACTTTTCAAAGCAAATGTAAGTCTGTCTCTGGTTGTATTCATGTGATTGATACGCAATGATTCCTTCTCTCCTAAAGGCTTCTAATGGAGAGAGATCTTTATTGAGGCATATATTAAAATATACTCCTGATATAACATTATTTATGTCAATATTAAGAAGAATTTTGGGAGGTATTTGTAGTTCGTTTCTTCCTTTCTTCTTTCTTTCTCTTTCTTTCTTTCTAATTTTCTTTCTTTCTTTCCTTCCTTCCTTCCTTCTTTCCTTCTTTCTTTCTTCCTTCTTTTTTTTGAGATGGAGTCTCATGCTCTGTACCCAGGCTACACTGCAGTGGTGCGATCTCGGCTCACTGCAAGCTTGGCCTCCCAGGTTCACACCATTCTCTGCCTCAGCCTCCCAAGTAGCTGGGACTACAGGTCTTTGCAACCACTCCTAGCTAATTTTTTGTATTTTTAGTGGAGACAGGGTTTCACCATAGCCAGGATGGCCTCGATCTCCTGACCTCGTGATCCACCTGCCTTGGCCTCCCAAAGTGCTGAGATTACAGGCATGAGCCACTGTTGATGGCTGTAGTTATTTCAATATGCACTAAATAATTTTAACTTAAGGTAACTTCATATTTCTTTGTAACATTAAAGAGTCTTTGGATCCAACTTTAAATCTTGAATACAGTTTATTTAACTATTTAGAGTAAGAACAGATATATTTAAGGTAATAATATTGGTTCAAATGTATAATTTATGACAGAACATATGCTCTCTACACTGACCATTTCGCAGTTACCTTGTGAAAGATCATAAAGCACCATGGACAAATTCAGGATTCTGTCCTTGTGTCCTGATTGTTCTTGCTGGGCCTTCCTCCAAATCCTGACTGCCTCACTGACATTCAAGTTTGAGTGGGGCACTGTACATGGTATAAGCAATAAAAGCTGACCTGCAACTAAAAAAAACATTAATCATATAATCTTATTCACTGTCTTTGTACCACATTATGATACTAATCCCGCTGGGCATAGTTCACTTTCTGCAATCCTCTTGAATAAGGTCTTTGTTAATAGTTTTCCATGGAAACTTACTTGATCTGGGAAATATATTCCTCTTTGAAATTTAGTTGTGTATATCTGTGATGTGTTGATTAATTGCTGGCTCTTTTGCTGCAAGCAACTATGCATGAGATCGAAGCAAAATTACCAAAACACCAGGTGTGATGGCTCACATCTGTATTCTCAGCACTTTGTGAGGCTGAGTCAGGTGGATAACTTGAGGTCAGGAGTTCGTAACCAGCCTGGGTAATATGGAAAAACCCCGTGTCTACTACAAATACAAAAATCAGCCAGACATGATGGTGAATGAAGCCTTTTGTCCAGCTACTCAGGAGGCTGAGACAGAAGAATCACTTGAACTCAAAGGTAGAGATTGCAGTGAGGTGGGATCATGCCACTGCACTCCAACCCTGTGAGACTCTGTCTCAAAAATATATATATAATAAAATATAAAAGCTCCAGGATATCATCTTGCCTATGTATCATACATCATCATTTAAAGAACAGAACACCTATTTATATAAATGAGACTATACCAGCAATAATATTAAATATAAAAGTTTGATTTTTAAGTTCATTATTAAAAGGAGCCTTAAGAAGGTGCAGAATGGATAAAGTTCAAATGTGTATCTTTATTAAAATAGGAATAAATTTTTGGATCAAAAGATGAATTAATGTCAGAATTTGTCAGATGGAATCTCAATATATATGATACTGTGTATTAATACTTTGGCACAGGTGTTTGGAAATTTTGTGACAAAAAGAAAAAATGTAGCATATCAACTTACCTTGTATTTAACAAAAAATAATCTCTTCATTATATAATATAAACATATTTATATTATATTATATTATATATTTAATATTTAAATATTTAATATTTCATGCTTATTTGAATTATAATAAATTTGCCATGGAGAATATTTAAGTGTGTGTGTGTGTTTGAGAGAGGAGATTTCTTATCGTAAAATGGATTATGTTACTAAATTATTTCAAATTATTTTTAAAAAGGTATACATTTTCCCATAATAATAATGCCACAAGAATTGGAAAGATACATAACAATCTTTGTAATTTCAGGATCCAACATTAATAAACTCTGACAGGCAAGACATAATTCACTTTGACTCTAAAATGAGTAGGAAGATGGTTAGAAGAGTGGAGGAATACAGCCAGTGGAAGTGAGAAAAAGATCTGACAACTGAACACCTCTAATATCAGGAGCAAGGGATAAAGCTTTCCGGGTATGGATTTCTAGTAGAAAGGTAACATGTAAAGTCACTTGCAATCTAATTGTTCACAGAATAAAAACCACCTAACGGCTTATTATTTAAAATTAATAGTCCTGTTGCTTAGCACATATTCATACTTTCCATGGCAGAATTGTGCTTTCCTATTCCTTTGCTTCCTCTTAGGGGTTAATGGGATGCCCAGACATGAAAAACAAGGAAGGTCTTGAAATGTGTTTGGCAATTGAACTTACGCTCTTGCCTTCCTGCTTTTCTTTATAAGGAGAAAATAACTTAGCTGTAGGTTTAAAGAGAAAGCATTAGAATCAACTGAGACAAAACCAATTCCAACTAAGCTTAGAAGAGTAAAAAATCCCTCTTTTTCTGCAGTTACAAAGGCAAAAATACATGCTTACTATAAAATGCTACCAAGTTTTGGTATGGGTAATTATGCAGCATTATTACTGCATATAATATGTAAAGAGTATAACTTTTATACTCTTTAGCTAAAAAAAGTAGTTTTGCCAAACAAGCATTTGGTACAGAAAGTGTTAGACTAAGGTCTATACAGAAAAATTAAAAGTGAGTAATATTAACAAGAATATTGATGATAACCTCAGTAGCAATAACAGTTAAAACAGAAAATTAGAAGTAAGTAACATTAACAAGAACAGCAATGATAACCTCAATAGCAATAACAATTAAAACAGAAGTGTCTTACTTACATTATCTCATTTTATATAAAAAAGAAACAATTCACATTGTGCATTGGAATGCTTTTAAACTCCCACTTTTTTTATTTTAAAATACTATATTTCCATGTAAATGGAGTCTTGCATTTTTCACTCAAATCAGTGAGACATCCCTTTATTGTGGTTGAACTGCTCTTATCTGCATATGTGGGAATAAATCTTGTCCTAGTTTACAGTTTCTTGAATGAAACAGCAGTAATAACAACAACAAGATGTCCTCATCACTGATGCTATGTATGACTTTTTTAAAAAAATCAGTGTTATTTTCTCTATGTTTTGATTGGGCTGTTCTTAGCTTTTCAAACAGGCTTTTCAATATCTGTCTTTAGAGAACATCTATCCTTGCCTTATCCTTTTGCTAGCATATAACATGAAGCAGGAGTGAGAGAGAGAGAGAGAGAGAAACATACAGAGAGAAGCAAATAGAGAGAGAGTGAAACAGGAAAACAGAGAGAAAGAAATGGAGAGAGAGGGAGAGAAACAGAGAGAAAGAGATAAAGAGATTCTTCAAAAACAAGAAAGTATTTCTACATCTTAAAGAAAGCAAAATTTGCTGGTGGGTTTGAACTACGGAATGGAAACTGGTTCTATATGTTTAATTAGTTTCTAATTTCTCTGTAATCTCATCATGAGTCCCTAACAGGAAATAATATTGGCTATACATTTTGTACAATTAGGTGCTCATATATTAGATCATTCTGAAGGGGCTCACTAAATTATTTACTAAGCCTAATGTATTACTAATGCAAGTTAAACTCTATCTCTAGTGTAATTGTAAAACTCAATGAGTAAATAGTGCCCTGTGATCATCATGGGCTTGTTATTAGAGGTAAGTGAATCGAGTGCCTCGCGCAATATCTATAATGAAATACCGTATCAACTTGCCCTGATCCATTAAAGGAATGAGGGTTTACATCATATTCCACACAAGGAAAAATTGTTAATTGCTTCATTTTCCCTAACATAAGCCACAAAGAATAACAACAACAACAAAAACAAAAATAGATTCATTCTGTCTTAGTTCTAGTCCAAAAATTAAATCAAACCTTGAGCTTTTCTGTAAATTCCCGACTCCCTAACAAAAATAACTTTATCTTTGCCTTCGAAATGTTCATACATAGAAATGGAAGAATATTATCTAATTTAACAATAATTCAAAGAAGTGATTAATTGTCCATCATGAACATTACAAATGCAATAAATTAAATATCTAGTCATTTTTTTTAAATTTTAGAGCAAATTCTGTTTTTATTTTTATTCATTTCATTTTGGTTTTATGCCTTTCATTCTCTCCTTTCTCCCCTTCCTTCCTTCTTTCCCTCCTTCCTTCTGTCCTTCCTCCCTTCCTTCTTTCCTTCCTTCTTTTCTACCTCCCTCCCTCCCGTCCCTCACCTCTTCCTCCCTTTTTTTCTTTTATTTTTTCTTTTCTTTTCATTCTTTCTCTCTTTTTCTTTCTTTCTTCTCCTTTCTTTTCTTTCTTTCTTTCTTTCTTTATTTCTCTCTTTCTTCTTTCTTTCTTTCTTTCCTTTTTTTTCACTGTCTCTGTTTCTCTTCTTGATTTTTTTTTTAGATGGTATCCTGCTCTGTCACCTAGGCTGAAATGCAGTAGCATGATCTCAGCTCACTGCAACCTCCCAATCCTGGGTTCAAGCAATTCTCCAGTCACACTCTCCAGAGTACCAATGACTGCAGGCATATGACAACAATCCTGGCTTTTTTGTTTTGTTTTGTATTTTTAATAGAGACCAGGTTTTACAATGTTTGCTCAAACTGGTCTCAAACTCCTGTCCTTAAGTGATCCACCCACCTCAGCCTCTCAAAATGCTGGGATTCCATGCACAAGCCACAACGGCCACCAAGTTTTATCCATTTCTTACCTCAGTGATCTCTCCAATCTCTCATTTTATTTTATTTTATTTATTTTATTTTATTTTATTTTATTTTTATTTCTGAGAAATAGTCTCACTCTGGTGTCCAGGCTGGAGTGCAGTGGTGTGATCTCACTTCATTGCAAACTCCATCTCCAGGGTTCAATGGATTCTCCTACATCAGCCTGACAAGTAGCTGGGATTATATCCATAGGCCACCATGCCCAGCTAGTTTTGGTATGATATTAGACATGGGATCTTGCCATGTTGACCAGGCTTGTCTCAAACTCCTGGCACCAAAGATAGCCCAATTCGGCCTGCCAAACTGCTGGGAGTGCAGGTGTGAACCTCCGTGCCCTGCTTGATATCTGTTGTAAAGCTCAGTTGATAAGCAATATTGTCTTCCTGGAATGCTTTATGTTTACAAAACAATGATAGCACTATTATTTAGCCCCTTTGGATAAAATACGGTAACACACAAAACATATATACACATACACATACACAGACACAGACACAGTCAGTGATCAAAAAACCAGTGTAGGCCAGGACCTAAAATGAAAGATGAGTTGCTGTAGTTGACTAGAATTAAACCAGACCAGAGTTAACCCACACCCAGCCAAAAGATGTGAACAGGGGCTTCAAAAAACTCCATCAGATACATGTCAGATTACTCTCCAGCCATAGCAAAGGGACATGAAAGATCTGTTGTGTTTAGAAGAGTCTTGATGGTTTGACTTTTCCAAGGTATTAGCATTCATGACGTTGACCTTTAAAGCTCTCCGCAATTACACAAATCAGTAGACAACTCAGTTTTTCTAGGAGTCTAAAGTGCTTTTCAAAATTATCTAAAACTTAGTGGCTTAAAACAATAATTATAATTTACTAACTTCAGTCTCTGCAATCTTCCACAGTCTCTCAGCCAAATGATTGTGGTTCAGGGGTACTCAGGAGGATGCAATCTAATGATGGCTTAGGATGGGGACATTGTCAGGTGTCTTCTCATCTCCCTGGTGTCATGGCTAGCATGACTCAAATAGCAGGAGCTGGACTGCTGAGATCCTCAGGCATCTGCTTCTATTTGTATGAGTCTCTCCATAGGATGTTCCTTCTACATAGTGTTATCAGGGTGTTAGACTTCCTGATGTACTGGTCTGGGACTCCTGAGGGGTTATTCCCCATGAGAGCAGGAGACTTAGGCAGAGCTGTGTCACCTTTTCTAACCTAGGCCAGGGGTGGCCAGTATCCAGAAAATGCTTGCACTGTTTCCTATTAATTAGAAGCAAATACTGTGTTCAGTCCCAACAGGAATATTTTGAAATGGGTTTGCAAAGAATTTCAGTGTTTAAAACCACTACAGTGATCATGCCTAATAATTACTTATTTTTATAAGTGCTGGATGGGTTTTACCCAACATAATAACAGATACAGACTTTTCAGCTTAAAACTTAAATGTCATAGCTCTGAACATTTGGTTGAAATAACATATGTTGAAATAACTCTCAAGCAAAAGTTTATTTTGAAATGAGAGCTATAAATAAATAAAATAAATGAGATAAACTCATAAATATCTGGATGAAATGCTTATGAAGAGGTCAGCCTTAAAAAAGTCAATAGGTCTAATGTGCCACTCTTTTACTATTTCTATGAATATGACTTGGACAGGAGGGCAAGGACTCAGGGGTCTTCTGAACTGTCTCTGCACCTTGAAACAGTGGCTGGGGCACCAGGAGTAACACTTCCAGCCAACACCATGTGGTGAGGATGAGGAGTCCATCCGGGTTAAGGAGGGTGTCAGCATAATGTTACTTGAAGGAGAGGCGACCAGGATCAAGATCTCCGGCACACATTGAAATCCCCCATGCCCAGCTGTGGCGGACTGATTCCCTTAGCTTGTGCTGGGCTAACAGGTGTGTTCAGGAAGCATCTCCCTTGCCTGGGAAGGATCCCCCGCTTCCCTTGCTATCAGGAAGGGTGAGGCTTGTGGCCTCTGCTCTATCTGTTCCAGCTCTTTCCCTTTCCATTATAGCACTGCTGGGTAAGGTGGCAGGACCCCAGAATGTGGAAGGGCCCTGGGCTGTTGACAGTGCCTGTGGGTGGCCAGGTACTAGGAGGAGAGTCCTCACTGAGCCTCCCGTGAGCTTGGAGGCTGGGAAGGAACATTCGTGGGGCACTGGCCAGTCCAGAGTTCAGGGGCCTATCTGGAGAAGGCCAGGGCGATGTTGTAAGGCTGTGGATCTACAATCTAGATGGAAGAGTTGTATCTGCCATGGCTGACATCATCAGGGCAAGACACCAACTGAGTGGAAAGCTGGACTTATGCATTTTATCCCTGTCCTGAAGAGACACTGCCTGGCTCTCCTGGGACCACTGATACTGGGGACCCCCTCTGGGTCCACTTATGACCATAAGCTTAGGATCTTCTATGCCTTGCTTCCTATCCACCCAGCTGAGGTATCCTGGAGACGATGTACGGGGCGAAGCTGTTGTGTGCACATGCTGCACTGGAATGGGGTATCATTGGCCAGTTAGGCCACTGCTCCCCAGGCCCTCTCCTGAGCTCCCACCTGGCTAAATGATAACTGTAACATCTACCTCGCCCTGCAGCCCAGGTTTCTCCTCCACCTACTGACCCATGCCCACTTGGGGAAAATGCCAGCCTCCCTGGAGACTCAGGCCCTGCCAGACCCACCTGCTGTCCTCCTCTCTCATGGGCCAGACACTCTCTGGTGCACAGGGATTCAGGAACAGCAAATACAAAGCCCGGCAGGTTCCATTGCTTCTTTCCTGAATGCCCGCTTCCCTGGACGAACACACAGGAAGACTTGGGCAGCAGCTAGGTTTTATTTCCCTCTGGATGTCATTTCAAGTTCATGACATCTCCTCTAGGTAGCTCATGCCAGCCATCCTTTCCCTCCTCCCTCTGCCATTTGTGAGAACCATGAGGACTCTTCACAGCTCCCACGTGTGCAGGCTTCACAGGTCCTGAAGTTGGATCACCAAACCCAGCAGCCCCTAAGCCAAGGTACACAAAGGTACACAGCCACAGGTGTGCACATGCATGCACTAGCTCAGACATGCAGGCTAGAATGTGCCCACACTCATACTGGTACAAGGGAAACAGGGTGTCTACACCAATAATCAGATGGGACTTAATGTTCAGCCACATTCCCTCGCTGGATACACGTAAAAGGTCCCCTGCGATTTAACTGTTCATCTGCAGTAGGATTTACTATTACTTTTATACTTTTACAACTTACCAAAGTATGTTGCATTCTTTCCCCCATCATGAAAAAAGGCTTTGATAAAAGTAAGAAAGCTGAGCATTTTTTGTAATAAAATTCTTATCTGTATCTATACTATTAAGTCATTTAAAAATATTACATCTTTTTTTTAATGTCATAGGAAATGTCTCAGGGGCAGGGGAAGCATGAGTGAGGATGGCAGAGGGGAGAAAGCATGTGAAGGGAGCCTGGAGTCATTGAAACAAAACATGACAGGACTGGGATAGCCATTCTAGAAGGACATAGACCTAGGTGTGCCTCATGTGCACTTCTGTGTGGACGGTAAGAGGGCGCTAGCTGAGCACAAACTGAACCCCGGCTGGTAGCAATCCTCAAGGCGTGGAAGAGAGGCAAGGAAGGATAATATGGCAGCTATCTGTTGATCCTTGCTTTGCACCAATTGACCTTCACCACTTCTCCTTTTTAGGCAACTTCAGGTTCCCCAATTCTGAGACATGAGTGTTACAGTTCCCTGATGAGCCTTTCTCCCCTAGCCCAAAGATGGCCTGGGATTTATCACTGCAGGCTCCTCCCTGAGACTTGAGTTCTCTATGTGTGTCCCAGCTCCAGGACCCACAGGCCTCTAAGCCTCCAGCCCTGGGATCTTTACCTGGCCTCCTCTCTGTTCCCTCTTTGAGGGCCTAACTCCTTCCAGCAGTGCTGCAGGGGATTGAGACAGAGGCCCTGGGTGATATACTGGGTGACTGGGGAAAGGGGTCTATGACTGATCATGTCATGGTTCAAAGCCAATTCCACAGATGCCAAGGAAAGACTAGCAAGATCCTTTCCCATGACACCCCTCAGCGGTGCCCACCTCAGCAATCCTGGCTGACTTTGAGTGATCACGGTCAGCCAACCAGCTGAAGAAGCTCAGTTAGGCTGTGTCCTGCCTGAAGCTGGCGGCTTCTGCTGCATGACTCTAGAACCACTGGGCTATAGTCATGCCAGACATCCTGTATCCTGGAGCAAGAGGAGTTGGGAAGGCTCATGCCAGGCCTAGCCTCCCACACTCCACCCCCGCTGCCATGCCAATAGGCACTTCTTATAGATGATGCCAACCTGATACTCCTTAATGATCACTTCATTGCAGAAATAAAGGCTGTGACAAAAGGAAAACTTTGTCCTGCTG
This sequence comes from Homo sapiens, assembly GCF_000001405.40. Taxonomy (NCBI): domain Eukaryota; kingdom Metazoa; phylum Chordata; class Mammalia; order Primates; family Hominidae; genus Homo; species Homo sapiens. Next base: position 8,972,066 of record NC_000024.10, read on the forward strand.
CCAGTACCCTGGATGACTGTTTCTCCACGTGCCAGTCCAAGAAGAAGAGAACAGACTCAAAGGGATCATTTCATCTTGCTAGGCTGAGGGCCTGCTGGCTAGGATGAAGCATGCATTTCCCCTTCCCAGCTCTCCCAGTGAGACACCCCTGGACCCCAGGAGGACCTCAACCTGACCGGGACCCTTGACCCCTCCCCCAGACCCAGGATCCCCAGCCTCATCTGCAAATCCATCATGTAGCTTACTTAGCAGGACTTCCTCATGGTTTCTTTCTTTCCTTCTTTTCTTTTCTCTTTTTCTTTTCTTTTCTTTTCTTTCTTTAGATGGAGTCTCACTCTGGCTAGAATGCAGTGGCGGGATCTCAGCTCACTGCTAGCTCCACTTCCCAGGTTCACGCCTGCCTCAGCCTCCCCAGTACCTGGGACTACAGGTGTCCACCACCAGCCTGGCTAATTTTTTGTATTTTTAGTAGAGACTGTGTTTCACTGTATTAGCCAGGATGGTCTGGATCTCCTGATCTCCTGATCCGCCCACACTGGCCTCCCAAAGTGCTGGGATTACAGGTGTGACCCACCGTGCCCAGCCTCCTCATGATTTCTGAACCTGACTGACATCTTGGTGTGCAGCACAATCTGCCTCTGGTGAAGGAGGCTCGAGATGATTGGGTGGACATGCCAGGAAACATCCTGCAACTTTGCAAGAGCTGGGAGAGTGTTGGGCAGGGTTATACCCCAGATCTTTGGCCTGGCACTGTGCATTGGTGGTCCTGTCTCTGTCCGGCATGTGGGGGCATAGTAGCAGGAGTGTTGTTCTTGTGGGTGGGTGGAGGGAGGCCCAGAAAGCCTCTGCCAACATCGAGAGGGGAGCACGAGTAGGCAGGGCATTGGGTGTGGGGTGCTGTGGTGTGACGCAGCTGTTTCCTCAGAGTTCCTGAGCTGCACCTGGCACTTGTGTGCTCAGTGCTGGACAGGCTATAGTAAGGGTGTCCAGGTGTGTGGTCCCCTCTTCTGGTCTCCCTGAGGGGTGGGCGTCTCCATTTGAGGTAACCACTGTGGGTAGAAGGGACTGCAGGGCTGTGACTGGAACACTCCAGGGGGCTCGCGTGTGCAGCGGAGGCATGTGTGCAATGGAGGTTTTATATGCTCAGGAACTACAGCTCTTTGATTGCAGTGCAGGCAGAGGGAAGAAAGCATGTCTAGGAAGCTGGTGCCTGCCTTGCAGAGGATGGCATCCCCATGTACCGTGAACCCAGGTCTTGAGCACCTTGTGTTTCTGGAGTGAGGTTGCTGGACACCAACACGGGGAGTGGGAGTGGTTCTATGGCTGGCGTGGGCATGCAGACTCCCTTTTTCCAAGGACTTTTCCAGGGAAACGTGCCCTTCATCTTGCTGTGCGTGAAGGGTCCTTGGAGCCACTGTTCTCACTTGTGAGTGCTGAGATTGGCTCCCAGTCCCTACCACGTACTCTCAGTGCACCCGCAAGCAAGCTGCCCTCCTATCTGCAGGACGCTGGCCTCGGCTCCCCTCTGTGTCCCCATGCCCTGCCTCCTGACTGACCCTGTATGCCTCCCGCCTGGCTCTGTTTCTCCCCACCCCCGGAAACCTGACGCCCATCCCCTGTTGTCGGTTATCCTCAATGGGCTGTTGCAAGGATATGGCTCTGGCCCAGAAGCGGGAGATGCCCTGGCTGATGGCCCCTGTGCCGTCCAGCCCGGGCAGGCGCCTCGGCCAAAACTTCCGCCTCAGCCGTGTGTCCCATGCAGCCTGGGGCATCCACAGAGTGCAGCTCCAAGTAAAGGACCTCCAGAGAGTCTGTTGCCTGCTGGGGCATGCTGGGGCCAGGGCCAGGCTGTGCCCGCTGGTAGTCCTTCTACTGCTCTATGTTGGCCTTCTCCTCGACTACTATCTGGACCACTGCCATGATGTCGTCCAGCACCAGCACCTTCTCCCCGCCAAGGGCGCCTCTGCACTCTATACCCTGGCTGCTGTCTCCCGCAGAGCCTCCAATTTGAAAGGGGTTCCTCCTCTGGACTTCCCGCTGACCATGACGCGCACTGTCCACTCCACCTCCGAATAATGTATCCTTAAAGTATCCTTTAAAAAAAAAAAACTTAAAATCATTCCTATTTCACCACATCCTTTCCAATATCTATTGTTTCCTGACTTTTTAATGATCGCCATTCTAACTGCAATGAGATGGTATCTCATTGTGTTTGCAGGGTCATGGATGAAGCTGAAAACCATCATACTAAGCAAACTATCACAAGGACAGAAAACCAAACACCACATGTTCTCTCTCATAAGTGGGAGTTGAACAATGAAAACACATGGACACACAGTGGGTAACATCACCCTCCTGGGCCGGTTGGGGGATGGGGGTCTGGGGGAGGCATAGTATTAGAAGGAATACCTAATGTAAATGATGAGTTCATGTGTGCAGCAAACCACCATGGCACATGTATCCCTATGTAATAAACCTGCACATTCTGCACTTGTACCCTAGAACATAAAGTATAATAAAAAAATTAAAAGGAAAAATAGCTCTCCAAACCCTAAAACTGAATAGAAAATTAGTATCAAGTGGTCTAGAACGTAACTTACATGAAAATGTCACAAACATTTAGCAGATAGTTTCTAAATGCCACAATAAGCCTGGCAGTCAGCAAGAAGCTCAGAAAAACATGGTCTTTGCTCTTCTGAGTGTGCAGTTGTTACAGGCACATAGATAAATGAGGAATAATAAGTGTGTTAAGTGCTGTAATAGGCAAATACAGGAAATATAACTGGAAATAAGGGCAACAATTTTGATAAACAAAACGTTAATACATGATGAAATGTAAAAAAAAAAAAAAAAAAAAAAGAACAAAACTCATGACTTTAATAAATGTTGCCTTTTTCTTCCCTCCAGAAGAAAACTCATGCCTCTGCTTTATTGGCTGACATGTTCCTAAGAAGACTTAACAGCTCTGATTTGTATTAATCACATTTTCCTCAGTTATTAAACATGGGTTTAAAAATCCTTCGAAGGTCAAATGAAAATATTTGCTATTACTGTATAAACAGTCAAGTGCTACACAAATGTTATTCTCTCATGCTGTATTTATACCACATATATCACATGGTTAGTGTAGCATTCTCATAAAGGAAATCTTGAAATGTGTCTGCTGCTCCATTTTTATTTTTCAACTGTTTCAATCATTATTATTTGTTATATGATTTCTAGGGGCTTTTGAATTTTAAAGAAAATATGTATAAACGAAAAAGAGGACAATGAAATTTCGAGACTACAGTCATAATTTCATTGATTAATTCAATTGTTTGTAAAGCTAGATTAGATTATATTTCTCCCAAAAAATCCACTGAGAAATTCTAAGATTACGCACCTATTGTTTGAATGACTGTAAAGTTGTTGCTTAAGTTAGAGTTCACTATTTTTTTTTTTTTTTTTTTTTTTGAGACAAAGTCTTTCTCTCTTGCCCAGGCTGATACGGTGTGGCACAGGATCTCAGCTCACTGCAAACTCCGCCTCCCAGGTTCTCCTGCCTCAGCCTGATGAGTTGCTGGGACTACAGGTACCTGCCACCACAGCCGGCTAATTTTTTGTATTTTTTAATAGAGACGGGGTTTCACAGTGTTAGCCAGGATGGCCTCAATCTCCTGACTTTGTGATCCACCTGCCTTGGCCTCCCAAAGTGTTGGGATTACAGGTGTGAGCCACTGCTCCAGGCCAGAGTTAATTAACTCTTTTTAAAGCCTGTAGATACAGTAATAGTTTCATGTATTAAAACAGGGAAAATAGGATTTTTGGTGCTAGTTGCTCTCACCAGAAATAATCATAACTTAAAAGTTATGATTTAAACTGCTCTTTATGTCAAATTAAATTTTCATTTTTCTACCTCATGTTATGGATGAGGTATGTATTTTTAAATGTATTTTCATGCTTATTGTACTTCTGTGAGAAAATGCAGACTTAAATTCATATCATAGTTATCTTTCAGTTTTACCTGTCTGTTCCAAAAGGTTCACAGAAATAAAGAATTCCATTTATGCTTGTATCTTTCAGCAACCTTATTTCAGATAACGGTGCACATTACTACAGATAGCACATAGACAGGTCCAAAGGGAGAAGAAGAAGAAGAAATCAAGTTTTTAAGTCTATATATTTGTAACACTGAATCAGAAACTCAGTAGTCATAGTGAAATCAAAAAATGATCTTAGTCAATTTCATCTCATACCTAGACTGAAATATGAATCTTCAAAAGAAAAGAAAGTTCAGAACTTTAGGCTTATCAAAATTTTTCTATATAGATAAAATTATTGGTGACTTTCTCTCACTAGAAAATGTAAATAAAAATCCATGCTTTGATTATATGTAAATAAAAATATTTTTATTTATATCACATGACTTATGCAAGCAAGTAGTAAAGTGAAAGTACAATAATAAAATGATATAAGGAAATTTCTCTGTGTCAAAAAATTCCATTGAGGTTATTAATTTTAGAAAAACCATAGAGAATGCTTCATGAAACTACATTATACAGTGCCTTTTAGTATTTTACTTACATTTTAAATAATCAACAAATGAAAGGAAATTTTTAATCATTATTTATTACCAATAACATTATTCCACTCAAATAAGTCTTTTGAGTTAAATATTTTAAATAAAACATTAAAAACAAATTGTATTGACTGCTGTCAGCTTTTGATGAAATAATACTTCTTTATTTGTAGTCATGTGAGGTATAACTTTCTTTTCACAGTAGATCTTTTATAACACCAGTGGTATTGTTTTCTCTGATACAAACCTTGTGATATCTCACAGCTTTTCTGTATCCATACATTACATGCCTCCAGAGAGTAGGCTTCAGATAGAAAAATTATATTTGTGATGAAATTCTAGGAAAGGGAATGGTAAAATGGGAGAATAATTTCTAAATTTCTAACTGTTCATCAATGGATTTGGATATATTTAGATATAGACAAATATTTGCACACTGCAAGTTTGCACATGTGTATAAAAATTTATATGAGATACCCATAATGTATGGGTTGTATAATCTTTTAATTATACGTGTGGGAAATTTGATAAGCATTTATCCTTATCAAATACTCAATTTGAAGTACTATACTCAATTTGATGTAAAGCCAACAAAATCTCTGTCAACATTCACTTCAATTAATCCAGTAATTTTACCTGCTGATAGCTTCATTATCTTTTTCCCCTGTTGGCAGCCTGAAAGTTGATTTTCACACTAATTCAGTGCTCAGTTTGCTGTCCATAAGAGACTAGCACCTTGCTGTGGATTGTGACCTCTGACTCCAACACTTTCGTCTTTTAACAGTCCTAACTTTGCATACCTAATGAACTTTGTACATGGTTTAAAAAAAGTTGAGTGAAATGTCAGGCCATGCTGTGAAATACTCTATTGTTTCTATATCTCTAATTGAACTTTCAGGTTGTAGAGAACAAGAAAAACAATTCAATACATTTCTTAGTATCCAGTCCAATGCACCATTTCTTATTACTACCAAACTATTCCTTCAAGGCACTGATATCTAAACACAGCTAGATATATCAAAATCTCTTCTCATTAATAACCATTATGTTAATCACTCTTGCCCAGACCTCCACTCTGACTGTGAAATCCTCAGGTGGAAATTGCTGTAATGGTTCACACTATGGGAATGACTATTTTTTGGCATAATTACTGCTGTCCAACTTACTGTAGAATATCACATTAAATGGCAGCTCTTAGATACATAAATCCTGTTCATTAATTTTTAACGTCCAACATTTATGGTATTGCACAAGTAAAAATCTTTGATAACGTAAATGGTTAGCTGAGCAATGGCTAAAATACATCATAGCAATTCAAACATTCATTTACTTAACTAGAAGGGTGATAGCTCATTAACTCCTGATGAAAACAAAGTTGGGAAATTGCACGTGTTGAATTGGTCACGAAATTATGTATTTCAGGGTATTTTATAAAACTATCCCTGCTATGTACGATGCCTCACCTGCAAGCATAAAGCTTTAGTATATGTATGTATATATATAGATAGATAGCATACAGATAGATAGATAGATACAGATATAGATAGAGATAGAGGTATAGATACACACATAATGTGTTTTGGCTCTTAATGTCTCTCTACATTTGTCTTCATAACCTCAACACAAAACCACCCATGTACTTGACTTTCAGGTCAGTTGTCTACCAGTTATTAGGGTTTAAGTAAACAAAATAAAGATTTCAAAACATGGTGACCAAATATGAGAAATCACACTCTCCCCATAAGAAATAATTATTCTCAAGTGACACTGCAAATGCAAAATTAAAAGAAGAAATTAAGTCTAACATATTGCAGGATTCTAAAATCTAAAATTTCCTGTTGGAGGTCTGGTGGTTCATGCCTGGAATCAAAGCTCTTTGGGAGTCTGAGAAGGAAGGATTGCTTCAAGCCCAGAATTCCAGACCAGCACAGGCAACATAGCAAGATCTACTTCTACAAATGTAACTAATTAATTAATTAATTAAATTGGGCATGATGGCACACATCTGTTGTTCTATTTACTCATGAGTTCAAGGTTGCAGTGAGCTGTGATTGCACACTGCACTTCAGCCTGAGCCACGGGGCAAGACGTTGTCTCTACAAAATAATTCAATATAACAAAACAAAGTAAATTAAAATAAAAACACTTTCAGGTGTTTTTTGGAAGTTTGTATAATTGCTCCAAAGCATAGATATTGTTTAAAGTTGAGCAATTCATGGGGAACAGGCAGTGAATATTGTTTATATCATTTTCCAGGAATTAGGGTAAATATGTTAGAAGATTATATATAAATATCTAATAAGCTTTGGTATAAAAAATATTGACAAATGTCAAGCGATTGTGTTTATAGACACTTTCTTCAAAATATTCATAGTTTAATTGGAGAACGAAGAGAAGAGAAATAATTGCAATATACTCTGACAAGTGTTACAACAGATACAATTTAGTAACGGAGTTGGAGAGGAAGGAAGTTCTCAACTGGGTTTACAAGGGTTTGGGGAACCTTCTTAGGGCAAGAAGAATTGATGGCACCTGTAAGTATTCCAATTTGGAAGCAGAAAGTTTGGGAGAAAAACACTATAGAAAAAAAAAACATTCTATCAATGATAGAAGTACTAACAGTGCATATGATGCCATCTGCCAAATTCTTAGACCATACTAGCTCAATAAATATTTCTTGAATGAATCCATGAATGGAAGATATTGGAAAAAGTGTTCTGGAAGAGATTTTCAAAATCCTATTAAGGAAAGGTAAATACCATGTACTTTACAATTTTGCCTGCGTTTCTTTACGTTTTGTTATGTTTACAACCTCATAAGCTCTGTTTTATTTTTTGGTCTTTTCCCTAATATCATGTATGAATCTTTCCTGAGACTACTTATCTCTTGATCCTTTGACACTATGTTTGTCTCTGATACTCCTTTGTGTGAGGTCCTGGATTTGTATTCCCACAGCTACATCACTCATCTCTCCCTGGCACTATTCTGTAATAGAGAGGCCTGGCCCCTGGGAGGCAGTGTTCCTAGGCTCCCATAAAAATTACTGTTTCAGATCAGTCAAGGGGTGACTCTGCAGAGATTAGAGAACAAGAAGATTACAGAAGCCTGTTTGTTTCCCACTCCTTTTCAGTAGGGAATGTTTCCACAATGATTCCATGCCTGCAGTAATGCTCTCTGTGTTTCCATTTTCCATGGAGTGGCCCTAATCCTAGACTGGCTTTTCTGATGCCATTTTCTCCAATTATCTTCTCTAAAGGATTTGGGTACTATTTTTGGAATTTTAAATTTTAAAAAATATTGATATGGAAGGGGGTCAGTGAAGTGCCTCTTAGAGGAGGGTGTGGTTCTGAGAGGTGAAGCTGGCTGGGCTTCCGGGTCTGATGGGGACTTGGAGAACTTTTGTGTCTAGCTGAAGGATTGTAAACACACCAGTCAGCACTATGTGTCTAGCTAAAGGTTTGTAAATGCACCAATCAGTGCTGTTTCTAGCTAATTGGGTGAGGACTTGGAGAACTTTTCTGTCTAGCTAAAGGATTATAAATGCACCAATCAGCACTCTGTCAAAATGAATCAATCAGCACTCTGTAAAACAGACCAATCAGCACTCTGTAAAATGGACCAAACAGCTCTCTGTAAATTGGACCAATCAGCAGGATGTGTGCCAGACCAAATAAGGGAATAAAAGCAGGCCACCTGAGCCAGCAGCCACAACCCACTCAGGTCCCCTTCCCCGCTGTGGAAGTTTTGTTCTTTCACTCTTCACAATAAATCTTGCTGCTGCTCACTCTTTGGGTCCACGCTGCCTTTATGAGCTGTAACACTCACCATGAAGGTCTGCAGCTTCACTCCTGAAGTCAGCAGGACCACAAACCCATTGGGAGGAATGAACAACTCTGGACATGCCACCTTTATGAACTGTATCACTCACCATGAAGGTCCGCAGCTTTACTTCTGAAGTCAGCTAGACCACGAACCCACCCATTCTGGACGCACTTTGGCTACCACAAAGGGAACATCGCCTATCACCAAGCAGTGAGATTATCACCTATCGACAAGTGGTGAGTACCATCAGATCACTTTTACTTGCTATTCTGTCCTATTTTTCCTTAGAATTCAGGGGCTAAATACTGGGCACCTGTCAGCCAGTTAAAATTGACTAGTGCAGCCATGAGACTAAAGACATGGGTGTCAGGCTTTCTGGGAAATGACTCTCTAACAATCCCCAACTCTTTGGAGTTGGGAACGTTGGTTTGTCTGGAGCCAGCTTCCACCTTTCCTGTACTTCTGGGCTGAGCCAGCGGTCAAGAGAGAGGAAAGCCATTCATCTCTGGGGTCCTGACAACAAGTTGGTTGACCCTGCAGCCATGAGTTGAACTCTCCAAGGCATGTTGCCCAAGTGAGACTCGCCCATCTACCCATCTGTTCTGACCCTTGCCCCCTGGGTCCTCACATCTGCCAGACAAACTTCCTTTCACCTCTCCTCTCCCAGGATAGCCCCACTTCTAAAAACCACTGCCAGTCTCTGGAACTTTTCTAGTTTCTCCTATAAGAAAAATTTCTAGTATAAACTCCAGGACTCTATTCCCTTCTTTAGGCACATGGGCTTACCAATCAGAGAGACATATTTTTTTCCCAAAGCACCATTGTAGGGGGAATTATCTGGGATTTTAGGATCCCTCCTCAGACTAGCAGGCCTAGCAAAAGCTATTCCTGAAGCTAGGATATGGGGAGCCTCAGAAATTGTATCCTTCCTATTCATATAAGTGAGGATAAAAGGTGTCATTTCCAACCCCGGAGATCCCTTCTTCCCTCCACTTCATTTTTGGGAATAGCATCTTTATAGGACATGGGTATGTTCCCAATACTAACAGAAGAATGCTAAGGACTCTAACAGTTTTTCTAGAATATGTCAGTAAGGGCCACTAAGTCTGAACTTCCTTGGTCCTCCTTGTGGTCTGGGAGGAAAACTTGTGTTTCTGCTGCTGCATCAATCAGCACAACTATTCCTGTCAGCAGGGTCCAGGAACCATTGCAGGTTCTTGGGCAGGGAGAGAAACAAAACAAACCAGAACTGCAGGTGGTTTTGTCTTTCAGATTGGAAACATTCAGGCATCAACAGGCTTACCCTTGAAATATATCCTTAGCCATTGGGACCAATTTGACCCACAAAACCTGAAAAAGAGGCAGCTCATTTTTCTCTGCACTATGGCCTGGCCCCAATATTCTTCTTTTCATTGAAGTAGAATACACAATTATGCAAAGCTTGTAATTTACATCCCACAGGAGGACCTTTCAGCTTACTCCCATATACTAGCCTCCCTATGGCTCCCCTTCCTATTAATGATAAGCTTCCTCTAATCTCCTCTGCTCAGAAGGAAATAAGCAAAGAAATCTCCAAAGGACTACAAAAATCCCCAGACTATTAGTTATGTCCTCTTCAAGCTGTAGGGGGAGGGGAATTTGGCCCAACCCAAGTACATGTCCCCTTCTCCATCTCTGATTTAAATCAGATAAAGGAAGACCTGGGGAAGTTTTTGGAAGTTTCAAATAGGTACATAGATGTCCTACAGGGTCTAGGGCAAACCTTTGATCTTGCTTTCAGAGATGTCATGCTATTGTTAGATCAATCCCTGGCCTTCAATGAAAAGAATGCAGCTTACCTGCAGCCCGAGAGTTTGGAGATACCTGGTATCTTAGTCAAGTAAATGATAGAATGACAGCGGGGGAAAGGGACAAATCTTCTACTGGTCAGTAAGCCATCCCCAGTATGGATCCCCACTGAGGCCTTGACTCAGATCATGGGGACTGCGGTCATAAACATCTGTTAACCTGTGTTCTAAAAGGATTAAGGAGAATTAGGAAAAAGACCATGCATTATTCAATGATGTCCACCATAACTCAGAGAAAGGAAGAAAATCAGTCTGCCTTCCTTGAGTGGCTATGGGAGGCCTTAAGAAAATATTCTCCCCTGTTACCTGAATTACTCAAGGGTCAATTGATTCTAAGAGATAAATTTATTACCCAATCAGACCCAGATATCAGTAGAAAGCTCCGAAAGCAAGCCTGGGCCTGGAGCAAAATCTGGAGGCATTATTAAACCTGGTTCCTCGATGTTTTATAATAGGGGCCAAGAGGAACAGGCCCAAAAGGAAAAGCAAGATCAGAGAAAGGCCACAGCCTTAGTCATGGCCCTCGGAGAGACAAACTTTTGTGGTTCAGAGAGGACAGAAAATGCAGCAGGCCAGTCAGCTGGTAGGGCTTGTTATCAGTGTGGTTTACAAGGACACTTTATAAAAGGTTCTCCAATGAGAAACAAGCCACCCCCTTTTCCATGTCTGCTATGCTGAGACAATCACTGGAAGGCACACTGCCCTAGAGTGTAACAATTCTCTGGGCCAGAAGCCCCCAACCAGATGACCCAACAACAGGACTGAATTTGCCTCAGGCAAGCACCAGCTTATGTCATCACCCTCACTGAGCCCCAGGTACATTTAACCATTGAGGACCAGGAAATTGATTTCCTCCTAGACACTGGCACAGCCTTCTCAGTGTTAATCTTCTGTCCTGGACGACTGTCATCAAGGTCCGTTACCATCCAAGGAATCCTGGGACAGCCTGTAACCAGGTATTTCTCCAATCTCCTCAGGTGTAATTGGGAGAGCTTACTCTTTTCACATGCCCTTCTTGTTATGTCTGAAAGTCCCACACCCTTATTAGGGAAGGATATATTAGCCAAAGCTGGAGCTATTATCTGCATGACTATGGGGATCAAGTTACCCATTTGTTGTCTACTACTTGAGGAGGGAATCAACCCTGAATCCTGGGGATTGGAAGGACAATTTGGAAGCAGAAAAAAATGCTCACCCAGTCCAAATCAGGCTAAAAGACACCAGCACTTTTGCTTATCAAAGCAATATCCCTTAAGGCCTGAATCTCAAAAAGGATTACAGGATATTGCTAAACATTTAAAAGCTCAATCGAGCCTTAGTAAGGAAATGCAGCAGTCCCTGCAACACCCCAATTCTAGGAGTACAAGAAAATGAATGGTCATTGGAGACTAGTGCAGGATCTTAGACTCATCAAGGAGGTAGTAATCTCTCTATATCCAGTTGTACCCAAACTCTATAACCTGCTGCCTCAAATACCAGAGGAAGCAGAATAGTTCACTGTTCTGAACTTCAAGGATGCCTTCTTCTATATTCCCCTGCACTCTGACTCCCAGCTTGTCTTTGCCTTTGAGGATAGCAGGGACCACACATCCCACCTTTTGTGGACAGTCTTGCCCCAAGTGTTTAGGTATAGCACACATCTGTTTGGTCAGGCACTGTCCCAAGATCTAGGCCACTTCTTAAATCCAGTCACTCTGGTCCTTCAATATGTGGATGATTTACTTTTGGCTACTAGTTTGGAAGCCTCATACCAGCAGGCTACTCTAGATCTCTTGAACTTTATAGCTAATCAAGAGTACAAGGCATCTAAGTTGAAGGCCCAGCTTTGCCTACAGCAGGTCAAATATCTAGGCCTAATATTATCCAGAGGAACCAGGGCCCTCAGCAAGGAATGAAGACAGCCTATACTGACTTATCCTCACATTGAAACATTAAAACAGTTGTGGGGGTTCCTTGGAATCACCAGCTTTTGCCAACTATGGATCCCCAGATACAGTGAGATAGCCATAACCATCTGTACTCTAAGCAAGAAGACCCAGATGGCAAATATTCATCTACTAGAGTGGGAACCAGGGGAAGAAACAGCCTTCAAAACCTTAAAGCATGCCCTAGTAAAAGCTCCAGCTTTAAGCATTCCCACAGGACAAAACTTCTCTTTATACCTCACAGAGAGAGCAGGGCTAGTCCTTACTCAGACTCATGGGGCAACCCTACAACCAGTGGCACACCTAAGTAAGGAAATTGATGCAGTAGCAAAAGGCTGGCCTCAATGTTTAAGGGTAGTTGCAGTGGTGGCTGTCTTAGTGTCAGAGGATACCAAAATAATACAAGGAAAGGATCTCACTGTTTGGAGTACTCATGATGTAAATGGCACACTAGGTGCCAAAGGAAGTTTATGACTATCAGACAACCACATATTTATATACAAGGCACCACTCCTTTAGGGACTGCTGCATCAAATAAGTATATGTGCAGCCCTCATTCCTGTCACTTTTCTCCCTGAGCATGAGGAACCAATCGACCACGACTGCCAACAAATTATGGTCCAGATTTATGCCACCTGAGATGATCTCTTAGAAGTCCCCTAAGCTAATCCTGACCTTACCTTATATACCAATGAAAGTTCATTTGTGGAGAATGGGATGCAAAGGGCAGGATATGCCATAGTTAGTGATGTAACTGTACTTGAAAGTAAGCCTCTTCCCCCAAGGACCAGCACCCAGTTAGCAGAACTAGTGGCACTTACCTGAGCCTTAGAACTGGGAAAAGGAAAAAGAATAAATGTGTGTACAGATAGCAAGTATCTTTATCTAATCCTACATACCCCTGCTGCAATATGGAAAGAAAGATAGTTCCTAACCTCTTGGGCAATCCCCATTAAATACCACACGTTAATTATGGAGTTATTTCATGCAGTGCAAAACCCAAGGAGGTGACAGTCTTACACTGCCAAGGCCATCAGAAAGGTGAAGAAGAAAAGGCAGAAGGAAACCATCAGGCAGATGCTGAGGCTAAAATTGCTGCCAGGTGGAACCTCCCATTAGAAATACCTATGGAAGGACGCTTGGTATAGAACAACCCCCTGCAAGAGATTAAGCCCCAGTATTCCCCAAATGAAACAGAATGGGGACTTTCACAGGGGCATAGTTTTCTCCCTTCAGGGTGGTTAACGACAGAAGAAGGAAAGGTACTTATGTCCGAAGCCAGCCAGTGGAAAATATTTAAAACCCTCCACCAAACTTTTCATATGGGTTTTGAAAACACTCATCAAATGGCCAAATCCCTATTTACAGGGCCAAATCTCCCCCAAAACATCTGACAGGTAGTCAAATCCTATGAGGTAGGCCAAAGGAATAATCCCTTCATCCATCATAAGGCCCCTTAGGGGGAACAAAGAATAGGTCGCTATCTTGAAGAGGACTGCAAGAAACTCATCTCCCATGGCCTACTCTTTTTCCCATGGCCTTGTTGAGATTCCAAAATTCTCCTCACAAAACGAGATCCAGTTCATATGAAATGCTCTGTGGACAATCTTTTCTCACAAATTACCTCCTACCTGATCAGAAAATGGCCAACTTGGTCAAAGATATAACTTCTTTGGCAAAATATCAACAAAACCTTAAAAACCTACCTAAAGGATGTCACAGAGAAAAGGGAACAGAGTTGTTTCAACCAGGAAATCTTGTGTTGGTCAAATTTCTCCTCTCTACCTCCCCAGCTATGGACTCTTTGTGGGAAGGGCCATACTTGGTAATCCTCTCTACCCCCACTGCAGTTAAGGTGGCAGCAGTGGGATCTTGGATTCACCAGACCTGAGTTAAATTTTGGACATCTCCTGAGAAACCTGCAGGACCATCAGCTCAGGAGTCCCAAGATCAGACAGACCAGCCTCGATACACTTGTGAACTGTTGGAGGACTTGCATGTCCTATTTTGGAAGGAAACATCCCAGACTAAAAAGCTCCTACCACTGATCCTGAGGAAAAATCCCTTCCTCCTTAAAAAAGATAAGTGAAAACCTACATAATCTTTAACACCTCTCCTTCCCCTTTAATGGAATCATTTTACTAATTTATCATATTATTAAGCAGCATATTAACCATACTCTTTGTGATAGGACTATATACTGTAGCTCCTTATGGGATGAAAATCCTAATCACATCAACCTTCTTTCTATCTTCCTTCCCTATGACAGCAATTTATTCCTACCTTTAACTCAGCCTAGATAAAACGATCTCATCTTCTAGAGCACCCTCTTTACCTTCCTATTTACTCTTTACCTATCTATCCTTCCTGCTTCCTTGGGTACCTCATACAATCTCTCCTCCCTTTCCACTAGCTCTTAGTTACCTCTAAAAGACTCTCAACTTAATCCACTGTCTGTTAAACCAGCCCAATCATTCCCTGGCAAATGACTCTTGGCTTTGTATCTATCTGTCCACCTCTGTTTATGTTGCCACTCCCATTCCCACAAAAAAAACTAGGTCTTTACCAACTGAACCTACCACCCTCCTTATGAAGGAAAAGACTATTTCTGACTTCAAAATTTGCAATCATTAGCCAATTTCCCCATCTCTGATAGGACCAAGAATACCCTAACAGGACTTGCAATCCAACTTTTACGCTCTTACATTTCCAAACTCACCTATTACCCAAGCAATGAAAAGGCCACACGGGGCTCTGTAATTATAAATACCATCTTAGCTCTCCAAGCCCCTTTATGCGTCCAGCGCAACCTGTTATCAGGCTTGGTCCTGGGGCACCAACTACCCCATCATTGTAATTACACCCTACAACTTCAAGCCCCAACTGATCATAGTAACTTCCTAGTCACCCAAAGAGCTCCATTCAGATGGCTTGTCCACTTCTCAGCACCCTCAAATATCATCACCTCCTCCCTGCTTAACAAACAGTCCAGGTTTTGTAATGGCACACATACTCTGTGCATGACCAATCACCCCTAGACCCCCCACAGCAGTGACCCCACCACTATTGAATGCCTTCTCATCCCCTCTTTCAGTAATTATTTATAGTAGATATAAAATGGTTTTTTCTCTAGTGGGAAAATAGAACACAGGGAGCAACTCAGTTTCTCGCAACAGCCCTTTCCAGCCACTCACCAGAGCTACCTTGACAAGTACCCTAGGAGTATGGGAAAATGAAAACAACAAGTTCACACACGTTTTTAAGAAACTCACACACCTTTTTAACATACACAACAAGTTCCTTCTACCCAGCCAATGTATATTCTTCTTATGTGGAATGTCGACCTATATCTGCCTCCCCGCTAACTGGACAGTCACCTGCAACTTAGTCTTTCTAAGTCCCAACATTAACATTACCCCAGGAAATCAGACCCTATCAGTACCCCTCAAAGCTCAATTGCATCAGTGCAGAGCCATAAACTAATACCCCTACTTATAGGATTAGGAATGGCTACTGCTACAGGAACCAGAATAGCCAGTTTATTTACTGCATTATCCTAATACCACACATTCTCAAAGGATTTCTCAGACAGTTGGCAAGAAATAATGAAATCTATCCTTATTTTACAATCCCAAATCAATTCTTTGGCAGCAGTGACTCTCCAAAACCGCCAAAGCCTAGACCTCCTCACTGCTGAGAAAGGAGGACTCTGCACCTTCTTAGGGGAAGAGTGTTGTTTTCACACTAGCCAGTCAGGGATAATATGAGATGCCACCCAGTTTTTACAGGAAAAGTCTTCTGAAATCAGACAATGCATTTCAAACTCTTATACCAACTTCTGGAGTTGGGCAACATGGCTTCTCCTCTTTCTAGGTCCCATAGCAGCCATCTTGCTGTTACTCGCCTTTGGGCCCTGTATTTTTAACCTTCTTCTCAAATGCTTTTCCTCTAGAATCGAGGCCATCAAGCTACAGATGGTCTTACAAATGGAACCCTAAATGAGTTCAACTAACAACTTCTACCGAGGACCCCTGAATCAACCCACTGACCCTTCCATTTCCTAAGAGTTCCCCTCTGGAGGACACTAGAATTGAAGGGTCCCTTCTTCACCCCTATCCAGCAGGAAGTAGCTACAGTAGTCATCGGCCAAATTCCCAACAGCAGTTGGGGTGTCCAGTTTAGAAGGGGGATTGAAAGGTGAAGCTAGCTGGGCTTCTGGGTCAGGTGGGGACTTGGAGAACTTTTGTATCTAGCTAAAGGATTGTACATGCACCAATCATCACTCTGTGTTTAGTTTAAGGTTTGTAAATGCACCAATCAGTGCTCTGTGTCTAGCTAATTGGGTGGTGACTTGGAGAACTTTTCTGTATAGCTAAAGGATTGCAAATGTGCCAATCAGCACTGTATATTTAGCTAAAGATTTGTGAACACACCAATCAGCACTGTGCAAAAATGAATCAATCAGTGCTCTGTAAAATGGACCATTCAGCTCTCTGTAAATTGGACTAATCAGCAGGATGTGGGTGGGGCAAAATAAGGAAATAAAAGCAGGCCACCTGAGCCATCAGTGACAACCAACTCAGGTCGCCTTCCACATTGTGGAAGCTCTGTTCTTTCACTCTTTGAAATAAACCTTGCTGCTGCTCACTCTTTTGGTCCATGTCGCCTTTATGAGCTGTAACACTCACTGGCAAGTTCTGCAGCTTCACTCCTGAAGTCAGTGAGAGAATGAATCTACCAGAAGGAAGAAACACCAGACACATCCAAATATCAGAAGGAAGAAACCCTGGACACACCATCTTTAAGAACTGTAACACTCACTGCTAGAGTCTGCAGCATCATTCTTGAAGTCAGCAAGACCAAGAACCCACCAATTCCAGACACAGTTCTTAGGTAGGGATACACCCTCAGGCCTGTCTCACTGACCTAGATAGGTCTGTTTTCTTACCCAAATTGGGTAGGACATGGGCTTCTGTCTTTTTGCCCAAGAGTTGCATTTGCCAAGACCACCCTGGCCTGCCACACCCCCATCTTGTGCTATAAGAAAATCTGAGACCTAGCAAGAAGGTACTCAGCAGCTGGACATCAAGAGGAACCATCAGTAGAAGAAGACACAGCAAATGGACCTTGAGAATATACCAGAGAACTGACAGCACAAGGAATGAGTCAGCAGGCCATCCACCTCAGAAAAACACGGAGTTCCGTGGGGCTGTGGGAGCAGAGCACTGAATTTCCCCATTCCAAGGGAAAACCACATTCCCATTCCATCTCCCTTCTGGCTCTCCATTCATCTACTGAGAACTTCCACTCAATGAAACCTCGCACTTTTTCTCCAAGCCCATGTGTGAGCCAATTTTTCAGGTACATCCAGGCAGGAAACCCAGGGGTGCAGAAAGCCTTCTGTCTTTGCAGTAAGGCAGGGTTTCTAATAGAGCTAATACAAGCCACCTACAGATGGATAAGCTAAATTAACACCGTGTAACACACCCCACTGGGGATTCAGGAGCTGTAAATATTCAGCACTAGGTGCTGCCTGCAGTCAAAGCCCCACAAACTGTCCTCATTCCTTGCCCAGCTGCAGGCAATAAGGGATGCTTTGCTGTTTCAATATGAGTCTGTTTCCAATGCAGTGTCTTTTCTGCCATACTGCAGTGTGATCTCATTATATATATTTGACAAAATAAGTTACAAATTATAACTAATGTGAGAAGAAAATAATTGTTGAAGAGTAAAGAAGAAAAATAAAACACTGTGTTTCACAATAAATGTAAACAACTATAAGTTTGATTAATCAACATGTGAGACCAACCAGGCAGGTGCTTAACATCGTGAGGGGGCACTACTCCTTCAACTCGGGTTTCAATCTGGGACAGAGAATGTGAGCAGCTATAAGGTCAGATATGGAAGAGGATACAATCTGGTGAGGTGTGGATTGTGTCCCACACCTTCACCTGAAAAAAAAGGTGAAGACAGATGACACAGAAGTTGCCTCCAAATGCATCTCCACATTCCCTTAATTGCAAAAGCAGTCCACACCATGGCCCAGTGTTCAAGTGAGAGTTCTCCAACGTGCCATGAACGTGTGGAGTGCAAATTGGGGTTTTGCACTTTGAGAGCTTTCATACCCAGGGCCAAATGGGAGTGGGATAGATTGATGCTGGGTGGGATGTGGCCTCCACACCTGCCTCTTCATTTTCTGACTTCCATGTTCCTCATCAAATTAGGGTTTTCTTGTTCTGGCTCACTGTCTTCCACACAAAACATATCTCAGTTCACGAAGGACGACCCTCATGGGAATAGATTGCATGAGTGTTTCCTTCTAAATACTCTCACGTTGTAATGGCTGGACAGCTTTGATAGTTTTAAAACTGTAAATTCCCACACATCTGCCAACAAGGAAACTTCTTCTCCCACTTCTATTGTAAGGCGGCATGATTCCTGTAGGTTGAGAAGCAGGCTACAGTGTTGAACATTTGCCTGGCTGTCTAGGCTCTTTTTCATTTCATCTCCATGTCCTTTCTCATTGTGGCAGGGCAGTTTCATTGGGCTGTTGATGGATGGTACTGCTTCTCACCAAAAATCTTTTGGCTTCCAAGGATTTCAGAGAGTAAAAGGGACTTCAGATATACTGATTGAACTCCAGGTTGTGGGTCATGGTAACATTGTGGGGGCTAAGGATGTTTGCACTTTGCAGGAGGATTTTGGGTCCTCTGACAAGAATCATTGAACGTTGTTTGGGCTCCAGCACAAAGCAGCTCATTCTCTCAGGCGAGCATTGAATTTTCTTTGCTTTCCTGGTGGTTCCACATTGCTTGTCAACAGGACTGCTGGACAGCATTTTCAGGGTTGCCATCTTCACAGACGGCTCCAAAGTCACTGTCACAAGCTTATCTGCCCAAAAGCGAGGACAGATTGAGGTGAGAGAACACTTTTCAACCTTGGACTTTCCTTTGTCATGGTTCCTGCCTTTCCCAGAGAGCCCTGTGAGGCCCAGGATGAAGGGAGGCAGTGAGGTCAAGAGTCTGGCCAACTTTCACAGACACCAGCCTCTGGGGTCTTAGGTATGATTCCATCACATAAAGAACCCTCAACAACTCACCAGACTCTATTCCAACCCCAAGGGATCTGATTCTTGCACACAGCCTCTTTCGGGAATGGAGACAGAAGAGTAGTTTCTGGCGACCACCTCACAGTCTCAAAATACCTCCTCCTCCACTGGGACCTAACTAGCGAGATAACCCGAAGGGGCAATAAGGTCAAGAGTTTTAGGGTACCAGTAGGTTGTCACAGCCAGCCTTTTTTTCCAATACCAGGCTGGCTCTGCCTGTAACATTTTCCTCTGTTTATGCAGGCTGACAGCACTGACAGTCAGGCACCTAAGCCTGCCTCATGAATGGGCATGTGGTAATCTCAAAGCCCCAGGCCTGAGCAGGGAGCCCTTGCTAGCATCACAATGAATGCCACCATTGCCCAGTGATAAGTCCCTGTGGCTTGGTGGAGAAGTACACCCCCAGGTGGAGGTGGGTCACCAATGGAATCTCTCCTGTCTTCTCTCTGGGATCCACGGACAGTCCCATGATTCCACCAAAAGTTGGCAGTCATGCATTGCAGGGGACACCAACAAACTTCTACCGTGGTTGCTTTAGGGAACTCCAGACCCGACTCAGAGGTCAAAAAGCAGCCTCCATCCCCTGCCAGGCATTGGTCTCAGCCACCCTACTTTCTCAGGCACCTGACTTTGTACCCACTTATTCTAAAGAAGACAAATACTTTTTTTTCAGGCAGAAGGAGGGCAAACAGCAAAACAGGGATGGACCCAGTTACCACACAGAAGAATAGCCATTCCACAGCTGCTAAGAGTCACAGTTGTATTGGCTGTGCATGAAACTACCCCCCTAGTTCAGGAAACACTTGAAAAGTTGTTAGGCTTGTACTTCTACATCTAATATTTGTCAGCCCTTGCCAAAATGGTGGCACAGTGATGTAATTACCTGTAGACAGCACAATGGGAAGCACAGTCCAGCTGTTCTGTCCAGCATACGAGCTAATGGAGCAGCCCCCTTTGAAGATCTCCAGGGGGACTTCACTGAAATGCCAAAGTGTGTAGGTAACATGTATTTACTAGTTCTTGTTTGTACCTACTCTGGGCTGGTAGAGGCTTATCCAACACAAACTGAAAAAGCTCATGAAATAACCCATGTGCTTCTTTGAGATCTTATTCCTAGATTTGGACTGCCCCTATGAATTGGTTCAAACAAGTGGTCAGTGCTTGTGGCTGACCTGGTGCAGAAGACAGCAAAGGTATTTGAGATCACGTGGAAACTACATGCAGCCTACTGACCTCCATTTGCTCCAGAAAGGTGGAGCAAATGAATCAAACTATCATAAATAGCTTAGGGAAAGTTTGCCCGGAAACAGTATTGGAATGGCTAAAGGCTCTCCCTACGGTATTGTTTAAGATAAGAAGTACTGCTTCTAAAAGAATAGGATATTCCCCTTTTGAAATATTCTATCATAGGCCCCCTCCCATATTCTGGGAACTCCCAGGCTCTCTTCAACAATCAGGTGAAGTTGAGTTACAGCAACAGCTACAGGCTGTAGTAAAAATTACACAATTTCAGCCTGGGAAAATGAAAGAGGCCCTATTAGTTTTTTATCCCCAGTTCACACTTTCTCCCAAGGTGATCACATGTGGATCAAGGACCGGAAAATAGCCCCTTTTGGCCATGGTGAAAAGGACCCCAGAACATGTAGAGTGCAAATTGAGAATCTCCTGGCAAACTCCTGATATGAGGGCTTTCATACCGGGAGCCAAACGGGTGTGGAATGGATTGAGGCAGGGTGGGATGTGGTCTCTACTCTTACCTCTTCTTTTCCAGACTTCCATGTTCCTCGTTGGCATAGGATTTCCTGCGTCTGGCTCAACGATTTCCACACTAAACATTTCCTGGTTCACGAAGAATGATCCTTAGTGGAATCCATTGTATGAGTGTTTTCTTCTAAATAATATCACGTTTTACTGACTAGGAAGTTTTGATACTTTTAAAACCATAAATTCCCATTAC
The DNA here is from genome assembly GCF_000001405.40 of Homo sapiens. Lineage (NCBI taxonomy): Eukaryota > Metazoa > Chordata > Mammalia > Primates > Hominidae > Homo > Homo sapiens. The sequence goes on from NC_000024.10 coordinate 8,993,283, forward strand.
AGCCACCAACAAGAAAACTCTTGTTCTCCCACTTCTATTGGAGGCTTGCATGATTCCTGTAGGAGGAGAAGCAGGCAGCCATGTGTGGGTTTTACCTGGCAATCTAGGCTCTGTTTCATTAAATCTAGCTCCTTGGGGTTTCAGAGAGCAAAAGGGACTTCCAGTAGGCTCACTGTGCTCCAGGTTTTTGTCCATGATCTCGTTTTGGGGACTGAGTCTTCTAACAGGAATCATTGAACATTGCTTGGACTCCAGCACAAGACAGCTTTTTCTCTCAGGCGAGCCTTGTTTTTACTTTGCCTTCATGAAAAATCCACAGTGCCCCTTAACAGCACTGCTGGACACACTTTTCAGCCTTGCTATCACCACAGACAGCCTCTGAGACACGGTCTCAATGTCATCTGCACCAATGAGAAGCCAGTCCGAGGTGTGAGAGAACTGCTCCACCTTAGACTTGCTTCTTTCATGGTACCTGCCTTTTCCAGAGAGGCCCTGTGAGGCCCAGGATAAAGGGAGGCCATGAGATCAAGCTCAGGCGTCTTTCACTGATGCCTACCTCGGGGCTTTCAGGTATAATTCTGTCACCCAAAGAACCCTCAACAACACAAAAAAATATATTCCAGTCTCCATAGGACCCGATTCTTGCACACAACCTCTTTCAGGAATGGAGTCAGAAGAGTAGTTTCCAGTGACCACCTCACAATCTTGAAATGCCTCCTCCTCCAGTGGGACATGACAATGGAGACAGCCCAAAGAGGCCCTGAGTTTGGGACTTTTAGGGTCTCACAGTGGGTTTTCATAGGCATCATTTTTCCTGAGACAAGGCCGGCTCTGCCTGTAGCATTTTCCCCTGCTTAGTCAGGCTGACAGCTCTGACAGCCAAGTGCCAGAGCCTGCCTCAGGAATGTGCATGAGCTAGACTCAGGGCACCATGCCTGATTTTGAGTTCTGGCAAGTGTCACAATGAATGTCACTGTTCCCTGCAGTTGCAGAGAAAGAGACCTCTGTGGGGGTGCGCTGGTGGACTCTCATCTGTCTTCTTTGTGGGATCCATGGAATAATCCCATGATCCTAGGAAAGGGAAGATGTGAGCAAGCCTGAAGAAATGTCAAGCAGAGCCCCAGGAATAAACTGCAAAATCCCTATGGATCCAAAATCATCTGCAGGATTCCTTAGGCCTGCCTAGATGCTTTATGGATGAGTCTTTATAAAACTTGCCCCCCTGATATTTTTAGGTACGGCCTGCCTCTGTTCCCTGGGGTTGCTCTCTCCAAGGTGGGTCTTTCTGCAGAAACACACAGCCTCAGAAGCTGCTGGGCTGTGTGTTTCTGTGAGAGTGTTGAAAGTGTCAGATTTCTGCATGTGTTTGTCTGGTGGTGTGTCTTTGTGTGTGTGCGTGCCTGCAAATGGAGTCTGCTTAAAAGAATATGGCTAACACACTTCAGCCCTTCTTTATTTGAGTCTCTCAACCTTTTGATGGCCTGTCTGTGTGGCTTTGCTTTAGTTGCAGGGCTCTGTGTTCTTTATTTTTCTGTGGATCATGAATACACAGTGTACTGGGAGATGAGTCGAGACCTGCCAGAGAGTGACAGGACCTAGCCATGGACCCTGGCACCACTAAAGGCCAATGACTACCTCTGCTTCTGTGACCCTTTCAGTCTACTTCTACAAATCCCTTGGCTTTTACCTCCACCCCCACTTCCATTTGACCACACTTCATCTCTCTGCCACAGACTCAGGGTAAGGCTCAAAAACTTGGTAGGAGAAGTAAAGGAAGAAGAGGATGGAAATAGAAAAGAATAGAGGGAAGGAGAGGGGAGAGAAAGCTCTTCCTGAGAAATGCATGAGTTTTTTATCTACCAAATCATATAAATTATTTTCCTTTTGGCTTACAAAGGCATTTCATACTTGATATATGATTCAATTTCCATCGTATCCCTATAGATTACTCTATGATATAGATCATATGACATGATTATTATAGTTATCTTAAATGCATATTCTAATACTAGATAAGTACAACAGATTGATCAAGTTCTCATGGCAAAAGATGAATTGGACTAACATTAAGACATACTCCTAACTCAAAGACATTTCTTTACTGCCACAGAGTAGCTTTCATTTTAATAGAGTTATTTTAAATTAAGTGTATTTTAAGTTAAAGATACTATGATATTTGGGAACAGCATAGTAGTTGGTGAGTAATGAGTTTTAGGTGCTGGTGTACTGGACTGTATTACATTGTGATTATCATTTTCTCCCTTCCCTTGGCTATCAGAAAACCTATCACAATATTAGCAATAGTTATGTCACATTACTGTACATCCACTTATTTCCTTGGAAATTGAGGGATCCCTTTTGGTGTCGTGAATTAAATGTGCGCTTAACCACAGCTATTTTATAGCTACCACCTATTGGCATAGCTAGAGTGAATAATACATGCAAAACATAAAGGGGGACATAATTATTTGCTGACATCCTCCAAAGTCTAATTCAAAGACATATACACAGGAGATCTTAGTTATGCTTCTAATTTCATCTATACTTCCTTACCCCTTCTATAGACAGGTTATCTTCACCACTTTTATCCCTATTTATATATTAATGAGCATTCCTTCAACTCAGTTTTCTGAGGAACTCTAAAATAATTTTTAAAATATGAGCCCTTTCCTGAATCTCACACTTGAATTTTCTATTTAAGCTATTGGTTTGGTATCTCACTAAATTATAAGTTTATGAAGATAATACCCCTCCAATTTAGACACAGGTGCTTTATCTCCAGGGTCACGATATTCCCTTCTCCACTTGGTCTGTGTGGTTGGCAATTAAAACAGCACTGGAGCCCTTCCACACTGAGGAGGAGGAGGAGAAGTTTCAGGATGACATAGAAAAGTTTAATAATCAGGAGTCTGATAATCAGCACAGTGAACCATCACTGTCTAGTTTTAAAAAGGGGGAGAAATGGGAAGGAATATATTCTAACTTCCAAAAATGTATGAAAGAGACAGTTCCTCCTACTGTGCCTTTAGGGGAAGGTGCAAAATGGCCACCTCCACCTCAGCCTTATGAATTTTTGGAATGGGAGACTGAGACTCAGCTTGCCACTCCCATTGTTGCAGGGCCTACCATTGACCATGTTAAAGGGAAGCTTCAACAGCCCAACAGCCAATTACGGTGAGGGAATGATCCAGGCTTTTCCACCTGTTAATTATGGGAGAGAAATGCTGCTAGCCAGTCCAAATACAAATTATGGTGCAGTGGCAATTCAGGCATCCATTTGACAGGTACAAGAAATAGGGGATTTCGATGCTTGGCAGTTTCCAGTAATTATTTATCCAGCTAAGGAGCCCAGAGAACATGTTCAGGCATTCTGGGAGCCATTTCTCTTTAAAATATTAAAAAGATTTAAAGCAAGCAAGTGAACAATATGGGTCAAATTCTTCTTATGTTCATTCCTTATTATAATTTGTGGCTTATAACAGGCATTTAATACCTATGGATTGGGAGTGATTAGCTCAATCCACCCTGTCTCCCTCTCAATTTCTCCATTTAAAAACCTGGTAGACAGATGAAGCAACAAATCAGGCATGAAGAAATGCTCAAGCCCAACCTCCCATTAATATCACATCTGACCAATTGCTTGGAATCGGACAGGCATTGGGTACTGTAAATCAACAGGTGGTAAAGGGTGATGAGTCTGTCGATCAGCTCAGAACTATATGCTTACGATCCCAGGAAAAAAATTCATGACCCTGTTACTACTTATCCTTCTTTTAACTCAGTTTGACAGGGTCCAAGGGAGATTTATCCAGATTTTATTGCCCCATTTGCAAGAAGCTGCTCAAAAGGTTATTTTGGTCTCGTGCCAGGAAAGGGATCATTCAGTGGCTTGCTTATGAAAATGTGAATACAGAACATCAGGCAGAAATTAGATCTATTAAAGTAAAGGCAGATGTAAATGAAGAAAAAAACTTTAAGCGAATATATTAAAGCCTGTGATGGCATTGAGGGGCCCTTATATAAGGCCAGCCTCCTTTGTCAGTCAATGGCTGGACTAAGGGTAACAAAAAACACAGCAGTGTTCCCTGGATCTTGACATAATTGGGGACACATAGGACATGCAAAAAGAGAGTGTACAAAGAGCCAAAAAAGGGAAAACTCCGGACCAGGCCCTGATTCAAAACAGGGCATTACCTATTTGGGGTGGGTCATCCCTGACTCCAAAGAGAGTATTCCCAGCCCAGTCTATCCCTTTACAAATGTATAGCAATTGTCCCCCACCAGAGATAAAAGTGGGGCAGTAGATTTATGCTGTGGAAAAGCTATATCCTTCCTTCCTGGGGAGCCTCCTAGGAAGATCCCAATGAAGGTTTATGGCCCATTGTAAAACGGCAAGGTGGGACTTACACTGGGAAAGTCCAGCTTGAAATTAAAGGGAATTCAAGTACATACTGGAGTAGTGGACTCTGATTACCAGGGAGAAATTCAAATTTTTATCTCTTCCACTGTCCCCTGGAGTGCTAATCCAGGAGACAGAATAGCTCAACTGTTTCTTTTACTGTATGTTAAGTCAGAAGCAAGCTCAGAAAAAAAGGAGGATTTGGAAGCACAAAATCAGCAGGCAAGGCTGCCTATTGGGTAAATCAAGTCTCTGACAATAGACCTATTTGTATGGTCACTATTCAAGGAAAACAATTTGAGGGTCTTGTCAACACAGGAGCAGATGTGTCAATCATAGCTCTTTATCAATAGCCAAAAAACTGGCCAAAAGAAAAGGCCCCAGTAGGTCTTCTTGGGGTTGAGGATTTGCTTGTATCTCACCAGGAGAGAATCAGCTTCTTGTCTGGGTACCCACAAGACATCTTAAGCTGTGCCAGGAGCCAGAATTCAAGGAAGAGGAAAAGACCTCAGAAAATCCCTGCACCCCCAGTTCATCAGATGGCTCAGATGAACATCTCTATTGAGCAGATGGAAACCAGTAACACTCACCAAGCGACTCCACCTACCTGGAGGCAGATGAAGACACTAGTTCGCATTGCAGAAGAGAACCTGAGGTCTCAACACAAGCTGCTGACCACCAGTAATCTAATGGTAGCTATGATGGTGGTCATCTCCTTTGTGGTGAGTCTCCCTGTAGAGGGGCAGATCAAAATTACACTTACTGGACCTACATTCCATTCCCACCACTGATTAGTCCTGTTACAAGGTTAGATGCCCCAGTGGATGTTGTGTTAATGATAGTGTCTGGATGCCTGGACCAACAGATAACTGAGGTCCTACTCATCCAGAGGAGGAAGGAATGTTAATGAAAGTTTCCATTGGTTATCACTTTCCTTCCATCTTCCTGGGGCCAGCAGCAGGATGTTTAAATTATGATAAACAAAGTTGGATGGTTTATGTCCCTGCACATAATGGATCAAATGCCTCTATTCATGTAATCGGTGGAAGAACATTTCAATTTTTGGACACTATGAAATACCTTGAGCATGGCTATGTTATGACACATCATCAGATTAATAAATTTAAACCTAATAAGAAGTCCTGCCCCAGGCAGGCCACTAAATGGTCTGAAAACCTAGAGGTGTTAACATGGGAAGATTGTATTGCAAACAGCACTGCAGTATTGTGAAATAATTCCATTGGAATCATCATTGATTGGGCCCCTAGGGGTCACTTTGCAGTAAATTGTACTGGACAGAGCAAAGATTTTGGAGAGGCTCCTTTGCAAAGGACTACCAGATAATGCACCAAAATTATATAGAAGAATTGAAACAAATTACCCTATTATGTAGGAGGAGAATGGTATGGCTCCTCCAAGCCCAAAAATGATTAATCCAATTATAAGTCCAGAACATCCAGAATGTGGAAATTAGTGATGGCTCAAACCGCAGTTGGAATTTGGAAAGGAGAATATAAAACAGAGACCCATAGTAAAAAACTTCAGTTTGTTGTAGCCATGATCTCTAATCAGACAGTCCCATTGCATAGTTGTGTTATACCTACTTTTATGTTAGTAATAGGAAAAGTTAATGTCCTACTTGACTCTCAAACCATATCATGCCTCAGCTGTCATATTTTTACCTGCATTAATTCTACCTTTAATAAAAATAATAGCATTTTACTGGTTAGGGCCCGAGAAGCAGTTTGGATACCTGTTTCCCTCAACAGAGTTGGGAGGCCTCTCCCTCCATATATATTATCACTGCAGTACTAAAAGATCAAAGAGATACTTAATAGATCAAAGAGATTCATATTTACTTTAATAGCTGTCATCATGGGACTTATAGCTGTCACAGCTACAGCTGCTGCGGCTGGCTTTGCTTTGCACTCTTCTATTCAAACTGCGAGCTCTGTGGATAGTTGGCAGAAAAATTTTTCCAAGCTTTGGAATTTCCAAAGCCAAATAGATGAAAAATTGGCAAATCAAATTAATGATCTTCATCAAACAGTAATTTGAATGGGAGATTGGATTATGAGCTTGGAGCATAGAATTCAAATGCAATGTGATTGGAATACTTCTGATTTTTGTATTCCTCCTAGCTCTTATAATACCACTGAACACCACTGGGAGATGATTAGACATCACCTACCAGGAGAAGAAGATAATTTAACATTAGATCCTGCTAAACTGAAAAAACAACTTTTTGCCACATCTCAAGCTCATCCCAGCCTATTGCCTGGAGCTGATATTCTTGTTGGAACCGCTGATGGCCTTTTAAACACTAATCCTATAAAGTGAATTAAAACCATAGGTGGATCATCAATTGCAAACATTATTTTGGTTTGTGTCTGTTTATGCTTTTTTTTTTAACCTACTGATGTGGACAGCACCTTGGGAGAGTAGATAGGCACCATGAATGAGCTATGATAGCAATGGTGGTTATTAATTTAAAAAAATGGAGACAAAAAAGTGGGACATGAGGGAAAGAGAGTTTCTGGGATGCCAGATGAGTTGGTATCCCCGGTGTGAGACTCCCACAGGGAGCCATGTGTGGCCTCTGAGGAGAAAAGTCTCCTGATTGCCTTCATGTCCTTATGCCCAGAGAGCATAACAGCTCAGCAGCATGCCACAGGTTGCTCAGGGAAATAACACTCCCTTGAAGCAGTGGCGTATAATCAACCCTCTTGGCTTCTCCTGAAATCTGATCCCATCCATTTCAGTCACAATAAGTTAAATATATTAAGCAGTTTAGACACACACCTTTGCTAGAGGAAATTCACAGAAACTGCCACTGCTATACATCTTATTGAATGACTCGGGAGTTCTCCCTCACTGATTAATACTTCCCCTCATCCCTTCCTACCCCTCCTATCTGCCCTAAGAACAAAGAGCTTGTAAACCAATAAATTGGGTGGAGTCTGAGAGCTCTGGGCCATGAGCAAGCCTCCAATTCTCTGTTCCCCTGGATCTGCCTTTTAAACTCTCATTCTGTCTCTTTCTAATTATTTGTCTCCGCTGGACTCGGGGTACCCACTGGGCAGTGTAGGGCTGGTTTCCCAACAATTCTCTCAAGTGATTTTTTTCTCTCCTATCATAAGTAATCCACAGTGCTCTTACAACAACACCACTGGATACCCTATCAAGGGTGGAAATCGCCACAGACAGCCTCTGAGACACTGTCTCAACCTCATCTGCACCCATGACAGGCCAGTTCAAAGTGTAAGAACATGTCTCCAACGTGGACTTGCCTTTCTTGTGGTTCTTGCTTATCTGAGAGAGCCCCTGTGAGGCCCAGGATGAAGGGAGGCAGTGGGATTAAGGACCTGGCCATCTTTCACTGACACCTGCCTCTGGGGTCTTCTTTCACCCAAAGAATACTGAACAACACAACAGAATATATCCCAATCCCCATGGGATCTGATCCTTGCACACACACATTTTCTTTCAGGAATGGAGTCAGAAGAGCTGTTTCCAGCAACCACCTAACAGTCTTGAAATGCCTGCTCCTCCAGCAGGACCAGACCATGGAGACTGCCATGGGGCCCTAAGGTTGACATGTTTAGGGTCTTGCAGTTGGTTTTCTTAGGTAGCCATTTTCCTGATGTGAGGCCAGCTTGGCCCGTGCGTTTCCCTCTGCCTAGGTAGGCTGACAGCTCTGACAGCTGAGTGCTTGAGCCTGCCCCAAGAATGTGCACGTACTAGTCTCAGGGCACCAGGCCTGAGGGTGAGTTCTGGCTAGCCTCACAAAGAATGTCAGCGTTGCCTAGCAACAAGTCCATGCAGCTTGGCAGAGAAGGAGATCTGCTTGGAGGTGCATTGGCAGTGGACTCTCCCCTGTCTTTTCTGTGGGATCCACAGGATAGTCCCATGATCCTATGAGGGGGCACATGTGAACCAGACTGAAGAAACATCAACCACAATCAGAGGGCTTATGGGAGTCAGCCTGAAGAAACATAAACCACAGTCCCAGAAATAAACTGCAAAATCCCTAAGGATCCAAAAAGATCTGCAGAATTCCTCAGTCTGGCCTAGAGGTTGTATGGATTTTGAAACTTGTGCCAATATGATTTCTAGGTACAGCCTGCCTCTGTTCCCTGGGGTTGCTGTCTCCCAGGTGGGGCCTCCTGCAGAACCACGCAACCTCAGGATCTGCCACGCTGTGTGTTTCTGTGGGTGTGTTGCGAGTGTTTGACATCAAGTGTGTGCAGCATTGTGTGTGTGTGTGCCTGTAAGTGGGGTCTGCTCAAAGGAATGGGGCTAACACACTTCAGTGCTTCTTTTTTTTTTTTTTAGCCTCACTACCTTTTGGTGGCCTGTCTGTGTGGCTTTGCTTGGGCTGCATGGCTCAGTGTTATTTTTCTGTGGATCATGAATCCGCAGTGAATTTGGAGGCGGGCCAAGACCCACCAGCATCCAAATCACCTCCCCCTGCACTGAAAATGACTCTTCTAGAAGAAGAGCACACCACACCAAAAACCAGGCATCTCCCAGTGTTTCCATCATCTTGAGGACAAAGCTGGGAGACACACTAGCAGATGTGTCTGCAAGACCACTTGGATTAACTTCGAATTTGGTTCCCAGCTGTGCACATGCTTCATATCATGAGGGGGCACTACTACATCTTCTTGTGATGTTATCCTGGAACATAGAGTGTGAGCAGCAATAAGGTCAGATGGGGTGAGGATACAATCTGCTGAATGGAGAATGGGGTCCAGCAACTTCACCTGCAAAAAAAATAAAGACAGATGACACAAAAGTTGTTTCTAACTCTATCCCAACTTTCCCTTAATTGCAAAAGCAGTCCACACCATGACCCAGAATTCAGGTGGGAGTACTTCAGTGTGCAAGGAATATTTGGAGTGAAAATTTGGGCCAACCTGGCAAACTCCCAATGTCAGAGCTTTCATACCCAGAGCCAAATGGCAGTGGAATGGATTGGTGCTTGGTAGGATGTGGCCTCTAAACTTGTCTCTTCTTTTTCTGACTTCCATGTTTCTCACAAGTCTGGGGTTTCCTGTGTCTGTCTCAATGACTTCCACACTAAATGTTTCTCAGTTCATGAGAATGACACTCATGGGAATCCATAGCATCTGTGTTTTCTTCTAAAAACTCTCACATTTTAATGACTGGGCAGCTTTGATACTTTTAAAACCATAAATTCCTATAACAGCCTCCAACAAGGAAACTCTTGTTCTCCCACTTCTATTGGAGTGCTGCATGATTCCTGTAGGATGAGAAGCTGGCAGCTGTGTCTGGCTTTTGCCTGGTAAATTAGCCTCTGTTTCATTTCATCTGTATGGACTTCTCATAGTGGAAGGGCTCTTGCATTGTTCCATTGCTGGATAGTTATGCCTCTTGCCACCGATTATTTAGCTGCCAGAGATTTCAGAGAGAGGAAGGGACTTTGGGTCACATGGCTGCACTGCATATTGTGAGTTGTTGTCTTGTTGTGGGAGCTGACGTTGTTTGCACTTTGCAGGAGTCTTTGGGGTCCTCTGACAGGAATCATTGAACATTGCTTGGACTCCAGCACAAGGCACCTCATTCTTTCAGGTGAGCCTTGATTTTTCTTTGCTTTCATGGATAATTCACAGTGTTCCTCAACAGCACTACTGGACACCCTTTTTAGGCTTGCCATCACCACAGACAGCCTCTGAGAAGGTGTCACACACTCGTGTGCACCCATGAGTGGCAAGTTCGAGGTGTGAGAAGTGTTGATCTTATACTTGACTTGTCTTGCTTCCTGCCTTTCCCAGAAAGCCTATGCGAGGCCCCAGATGAAGGGAGGAAGAGAGGTCAAGAGCCTGGTCATCTTTTCCTGACACCCTCCTCTGGGGTCTTAGGTATGCTGCTATCACCCAAAAAACCCCTCCAGAACACACCAGACTATATATCAATCCCTATGGGACCAGATTCTTTCACACAGCCTCCTTTGTGAATGGACTCAGAAGAGCAGTTTGCGACCACCTCATGGTCTTGAAATGCCTCCTCCACCAGTGGGACACAACCATGGAGATGGCTTGAATAACCCCCAAAGTTGAGACTTTCAGGGTCCTGCAGTGGGTTTCATAGGCAGCTTTTTCCCTGATACCAGACAGACTCTGCCTCTGCCATTTTCCTCTGCTTAGGCAGGCTGAGAGCTCTGAGAGCCAGTGCCCCAGCCTGCCTCATTAATGTTCATACCCTAGTCTCAGGACATCAGGCCTGATTGTGAGCTCTGGCTAGCTTCACAATGAATGTTACCTTTGCCAGAGACAAGTCCCTGCAGCTTGGCAGATAAAGAGACTTCCATGGAGGTGCGTCAGCAGTGGACTCTTGCCTGTCTTCTCTGTTGTATCCATGGGATAGTCCCATGATCCTAGGAGAGGGCAGACGTGAGGCAGCCAGAAGTAACATCAAACAGAGCCCCAGGAATAAACTGTGAAATCCCTAAGAATACAAAACAGTCTGCAGAATTCCTCAAACCTGTTTAGACTTTATAGGGGTGAGTCTTTTCGAAACTTGCCCTACTGTGATATCCAGGTACAGCAACTGTGTTCCCCAAGGTTGCTCTCTCCCAAATGGGACTTCCTGCAGAACCACGCAGCCTCAGGAGCTGCCAGCTTGTGTGTTTCTGTGAAAGTATTGAGAGTGTTGAATGTCTGCATGTATGTGTGTGTCTATGTGTGTGCATGTTAGAATATAAGTGGAGTATTCTTAAAGGAATGTGGCTAACACATTTTAGCACTTCTTTTTTTGAGTCCCCCAACTTTTTGGTGGCCTGTATGTGCAGCACTCCTTGGGCTGTGGGGCTCCATGTTCTTCAGTTTTCTGTGCACCATAAATCCCCAGTGAATTGGGAGGCAAGCTGAGACCCACCAGTGTCAAACTCACCTCCCACTCCAAAAGAAAGCCACTCTTAGAAAAAAGGGGAGCACACCACATGAAAAAACAGTCATCTCTGAGTGTTTCATTGTCCTGCAGCCAATGCAGGGAGACACACTAGCAGTCCTGTCCATACGGCCCTTGAATTTACCTCAAATTCAGGTCCCAGTCAAGCAGTTGCTTCACATCATGAGGGGGCAATAATCCATCGTCTTGGGTTTTCATTTTTGGACATAGAGTGTGAGCAGCAATAAGGTCAGACAGGGGTGAGGATACAATCTGGTGGGAATTGGATGAGATCCCACAACTTCACCTGCAAAAAAATGAAGACAGATGACACAGAAGGTACTTCCAACTCCATCCCAACATTTCCTTAATTGCACAAGCAGTCCATACCATGGCCCAGTGTTCAGGTGAAAGTACTCCAATGGGCAAGAACATTTGGAGTGCAAATTGGGGTCATTCTGTCAAACTCCCATTTTGAGGGCTTTCATACTGGGAGCCAAATGGGAATGAAATGGATTGATGCTGGGTGGGTTGTGACCTCCACACTTGACTCTTCTTTCTCTGACTTCCATGTTTCTTGTTGGCGCCAGTTTTCCTGTGTCTGGCTCAATAACTTACACAATAAATGTTTCTCAGTTCACAGAGAATGACCCTAATGGGAATCCATTGCATGAGTGTTTCCTTCTAAACACTGTCACAATTTAATGACCGGGCAGCTTTCACACTTTTAAAACTGTAAATTCCCTTTACAGGAGCCAACAAGGAAATTCTTGTTTTTTCATTTCTGTTGGCATTCTGCGTGATTCCTGCAGGATGAGAAGCAGGCAGCCCTGTCTGGCTTTTGCCTGGTAATCTAGCCTCTGATTTTTTTTCATCTGTATGGTCTTCTCATTGAGGAGGGGTTCTTTCATTAGGTTGTGGCTGGATGGGACTGCCTCTCACCAAAGATTATTTTGCTTCCAGGGATTTCAAAGAGCAAAAGGGACTTTCAGGTGTCTGGCTGCACTCCAAGTTTGAGTCGTTGTCTCATTATGGGGCTAAGGTTGTTTGTAATTTGCAGGAGGCTTTTGGGACCTCTGACAGGAAGCATTGAACATTACTTAAACTCCAGGTCAATGCAGCTCATTCTGTCAGGTGAGCACTGATTTTTCTTTGCTTTTATGGAAATCCACAGTGTCCTTCAACAGCTCTACTGGACAATTCTTTCAGGCTTTCCATCATCAAAGATGACCTCTGAGACATGGTCTCTACCTCATCTTCACCCATAAGAGGTCAGTCCAAGGTGTGAGAACGTGGTTCAAACTTTGACTTGCCTTTGTCATGGTTCCTGCCTTTCTCAGAGAGCCCCTGCTAGGCATAGGATGATGGAGGCAGTGAGGTCAAGAGCCCAGATATCTTTGCTGAAAAATGCCTCTGGGGTCTCAGGTATGATGCTATGACCCAAAGAACCATCAACAACACACCAGATAGACTATATTCCAATCAGCAGGGGACTCGATTCTTGCACACACACATTCTCTTTTGGGAATGGAGTTCGAAGAGCAGTTTCCAGTGACCACCTCAGAGTCTCGAAACACCTCATCCTCCATGGGGACATGACAACAGACATGGTCCAAATGGGCCCTGAGGTCGAGGCTTTTATTGTACTGCCATGGGTCTTCACAGGCAGCCTTTTTCTTGATACCAGGCCAGCTCCGACTGTACCATTTTCCTCTGCTTAGGCAGGCTGAACGCTGTTACAGCAGGACACATAAGCCTGTCTCAGGAATCCACATGAGCTACTCTCAGGGCACCAGTCCTGAGTGTGAACTCTGTCTAGAGTCACAGTGAATGTCACCGTTGCCTAGCAACAAGTCCCTGCAGCTTGGTGGAGAAGACTCCCAAGGAGGAGACCACCATGGAGGTTCGTCGGCTGTGGTCTCTGACCTGTCTACTCTGTGAGATCCACAGGATAGTCCCATAATCCTAGGATAGGGTAGATGTGAGCCAGCCTGAAGAAACATCAAGAAGAGCCCCAGGAATAAACTGCCAAATCACTAAGGATCAAAAAGCATCTGCATGATGTCTAGATGTTGGAAGGGTGAGTTTTTTTGGTACTTGCCTTACAGTGATTTTTAGGTACAGCCCATCTATTTTCCTTGGAGTTGCTCTGTCTCAGATGGGGCTTCCTGCATAACCCCGCAGCCTCAGGAGCTCACAGGCTATTGTTTCTGTGGGATTGTTGCAAGTGTTGGATGTCTGCCTGTGTGTGTGTTATTGTGTGTTTGTGTGTGTATGTGTGCCGTTAAGTGGAGTTTGCTTAAAGGAATGTGGCTAGAGCACTTCAGCTGTTTCTCTTTTTTTTTTTTTTTTTGAATCTCCTAACCTTTTGGTGGCCTGTCTGTGTGGCTCTTTTGGGCTGTGGGGCTCTGTGTTATTTATTTTTCGTGAATCATGAATCCTCAGTGATTCTGGAGGCAGGCCAAACCTGCCGGTGACCAAGGTATCTCCCCGTGCAATAAAAGCCACTCTAAAAAGAAGACGAGAACACCATACCAAAAAAAAACAGACATTTCCAAGTTTTTCATTTTCCTGCAGCCAACCCAGGGAGAGACACTATCAGTCCAGTTCTCAGGTCCCTATATTTACCTCGAATTCATTTCCTAGGTGAGCAGGTGCTACACATTGTGAGGGGACACTCCTTCCTTGTTTTGAGATTTCATCCGGGCCATATAATATGAGCAGAAATAAGGTCAGATAAAGGTGAGGATAGAATCTGGTGACAAGGGGAAGGGGTCCCGCAACTTCCCCTGCAAAAAGAGAAAGACAGATGACACAGAAGGTGCTTTCAATTCTATGCCCGCATTCCCTTAATTGCACAAGCAGTCCACACCATTGCCTGGTGTTCAGATGGGAGTACTCCTACATGCAAGGAACATGTGGAGTGCAAATTGAGGCCATCCTGGCAAACTCCCGATTTAAGAGCTTTCATACCTAGAGCCAAATGGCAGTGGAATGGATTGATGCTGGGTGGGATGTGGCCTCCACACTTGCCTCTTCTTTTCCTGACTTCCATGTTCCTGGTCACCCTAGGGTTTCCTGGGTCTGGCTAAATGACTTCCACACTAAACGTTTCCCTGTTCATGGAGAATGACCCTCAGTGGAATCCATTGCATGAGTGTTTTCTTCCAAACACTGTCAAGTTTTAATGACTGGGCAGTTTTGATACTTTTAAAACCATAAATTCCTGTTTCAGCCACCAACAAGGAAACTCTTATTCTCCCACTTCTATCAGAGGACTGCATGATTCCTGTAGGAGAAGAAGACAGCCGTGGGTAGGTTTTACCTGGTAATCTAGGCTTTGTTTCATTAAATCTTCAGGGCTGTCTGCCTGTGGAGGGGCTCATTCATTGAGCTGTTACTGGATGGGACTGCCTCTCACCACAGATTGCATAGCTTCTTGGGTTTTCAGAGAGCAAAAGGGACTTCGAGTAGGCTTACTGTGCTCCACATTTTGGTCTATGGTCACATTTAGGGGGCTGAAGCTGCTTGCACTTTGCAGTAGGCTTTTGGATCCCCTGACAGAAATCATTGAACATTGCTTGGGCTCCAGCACAAGGCAGCTCATTTTCTCAGGCAAGCCTTGTTTTTTTCTTGCTTTCATGGATAATCCACAATGCCCCTTAACAGCACTGCTGGACACAATTTTCAGGCTTACTATCACCACAGACAGCCTCCGAGACACTGTGTCAACCTCATCTGCACCAAGGAGAGAGACCAGTCTGAGGTGTGAGACAACTGTTCCACCTTGGACTTTCCTCTGTCATGGTTCCTGACTTTTCCAGAGAGCCCCTGTGAGGCCCAGGATGAAGGGAGGCCATGAGGTCAAGCTCGGGCATCTTTCACTGATGCCCACCTCTGGGGCTTCAGGTATAATACTATCACCCAAAGAACCCCAACAACACAACAGACTCTATTCCAGTCTCCATGGGATCTGATTCTTCTGCACAGCCTCTTTCAGGAATAGAGCCAGAAGAGCATTTTACAGAGACCACCTCACAGTCTTGAAACGCCTCCTCCTCCAGCAGGACCTTACCATGGAGACGGCCCAAAGAGGCCCTGAGTTTTAGACTTTTAGGGTCTCGCAGTGGGTTTTCATAAGAATCATTTTTCCTGATACAAGGCTGGCTCTGCCTGTAGCATTTTCCTTTGCTTAGTTAGGCTGACAGCTCTGACATCTGGGTGCCAGAGCCTGCCTCAGGAATGTGCATGAGCTAGACTCACAGCACCATGCCTGAGTTTGAGTTCTGGCAAGTGTTACAATGAATGTCACTGTTGCCAAGAGACAAGTCCCTGCAGCTTGCAGAGAAGACCTCTGTGGGGATGCGCTGGTGGACTCTCACCTGTCTTCTCTGTGGGATCTGTGGAATAATCCCATGATCCTAGGAGAGGGAAGATGTGAGTGAGCAAGAAGAAATGTCAAGCAGAGCCCCAGGAATAAACTGCAAAATCCCTATGGATCCAAAATCATCTGCAGGATTCCTTAGACCTGCCTAGACATTTTAGGGGTGAGTCTTTATGAAACTTGCCCCCCTGATATTTTTAGACAGAGCCTGCCTCTGTTCCCTGGGGTTGCTCTCTCCAAGGTGGGTCTTCCCACAGAAACACACAGCCTCAGAAGCTGCCGGGCTGTGTGTTTCTGTGGGAGTGTTGTGTCAGATTTCTGCATGGGTTTGTGTGGTATTGTGTCTTTGTGTGTGTGTGTGTGCCTGCAAATGGAGTCTGCTTAAAAGAATGTGGCTAACACACTTTAGTGCTTCTTTATTTGAGTCTCTCAACCTTTTGATGGCTTGTCTTTGTAGTTTTGATTTAGTTGCAGGGCTCTGTGTTCTCTATTTTTCTGTGGATCATGAATCCGCAGCGTTTTGGGAGGCAGGTTGAGACCTGCCAGCGTGCAAACCACCTCCCCCGGCAAAACAAAAAAACAAACAAAAAGCACTCTTCCAGAAAGAAGAGGAACACACCACACTAAAAAACAGACATCTCCCAGTGTTTCATTGTTCTGTGGTCAACCCAATGAGAGACACTAGCAGTCCTGTCCCCAGGACCTCTGGAATTTCCCTTGAATTCGGTTCCCAGCTGAGCAGGTGCTTCAGGTCAAAGGGGCCACTCCTCCATCATCTTGGGATTTCATCCTGGCACAGAGCGTGAGCAGCAATAAGGTCAGATAGGGTTGAGGATACAATCTGGTGAGGAGTGGATAGGTCCTACAACTTCAACTTCAAAAAATAAAATTTAAAAAAATGAAGACAGATGACACTGAAGCTACTTCCAAACCCATCCTTCCATTCTGCTAATTGTGCAAGCAGTCCACATCATGGCCTGTTTTTCAGGTGGAAGTAATGCAACGTTCAGGGAATATTTGGAGTGCAAATTGGGCCCATCCTGGCAAACTCCTGATTTATGGCTTTCATACCCATAGCCAAATGGGTTGGAATGGGGATGGAATGGGTTAATGCTGGGAGGGGTTACCTCCTCTTTTCTTGACTTCCAGGTTCCTTGTCAGCCTAGTGTTTCCTGGATCTCGCCCAATGGCTTCCACACTAACCTTTCCCAGTTCTCAAAGAACTAACCTCATGGGAATCCATCACATAAGTGTTTCCTTCTAAACCCTGTCACTTTTTAATGACTGGAAGCATTTATAATTTAAAACCATAAATTGCTGTGACAGCCATCAACAGGGAAACTCTTGTTCTTTCACTTCTATCAGAGGGCTTCATTATTCCTGTAGGATGAGAAGCAGGCAGCTGTGTTTGGCTTTTGCCTGGTAATCTAACCTCTGTTTCACTTTTATTTGCATGGTCTTCTCATTGTTGAGTGGATCTTTCATTGTGTTCTTGCTGAATGGGACTGCCTATCATCACACATCTTTTGGATGCCAGGAATTTCAGGGAGCAAGAAGGACTTTAGGTAGGCTGGCTATGTTCTGGGTTGTGGCTTGTGTTCTCATTTTGGGGGCTGAGTTTATTTGTACTTTGACAGACGCTTTTGGGTCTTCTGACATACCTTAGAATATTGCTGCATCTCCGCATATTTTCACTCATAGGTGGGAATTGAACAATGAGATCACATGGACACAGGAAGGGGAATATCACACTCTGGAGACTGTGGTGGGGTGGGGGTAGGTGGGAGGGATAGCATTGGGAGATATACCTTATGCTAGATGATGAGTTAGTGGGTGCAGAGCACCAGCATGACACATGTATACATATGTAACTAACCTGCACAATGTGCACATGTACCCTAAACATAAAGTATAATTTAAAAAAAAAAAAGAATATTGCTGCATCTCTGGCACTAGTCAGCTTGTTCTGTCAGGCTAGCTTTGAGTTTTCTTTGCTTTCATCGGGGGGTCCACATTGCCCCTCAACAGCACTACTGGACACCATTCCAGGCTTGTGGTCATCACAGACAGCCTCTGAGACACTGTCTCAATCTCATTTGCACCTGTGAGAGGCCAGTTTGAGGTGTGAGAACACTGCTCCAACTTGGACCTACTTTTGTCATGGTTCCAGCCTTTCCCCAAGAGCCCCTATGAGGCCAGAATGAAGAGAGGCCATGGGCAGTGGGAGGATGAGGTCAAGAGCCCAGCCATCTTTTGCAGACACCCGCTTCGGGGTCTCAGGTATGATTCCATCACCCAAAAACCCACAGAAACTCATCAGACTATATTCCAATTCCCAGGGCATGAACAGAATTTGTTCCTTCTGGTAGGTTCTTGGTCTTGCTTACTTCAAGAATGAAGCTGTGGACCCTCAGGGTGAGCGTTATAGTTCTTAAAGATGGTGTGTCTGGAGTTTGTTAATTCAGATGTTCAGATGTGTCCAGAGTTTCTTCCTTCTGGTGGGTTCGTGGTCTCACTTAACATCAGTAGTGAAGCTGCAGACCTTCCCAGTGAGTGTTACAGCTCTTAAAGTTGGGGCCTCTGGAGTTGCTTGTTCCTCCTGGTGGGTTCATGGTCTCCCTGACTTCAGGAGTGAAGCCACAGACCTTTGCAGTCAGTGTTACAGCTCATAAAGGTAGTGCAGACCCAAAGACTGAGCAGCAGCAAGATTTATTGTGAAGAGCAAAAGAAGGAACCCTCCACACCATGGGAGGGAACCCCCGTGGGTGGCCACTGCTGGCTCAGGTGGCCAACTTTTATTCCCTTATTTGGCCCTGCCCACATTCTGCTGATTGGTCCATTTTACAGAGTGCTGATGGGTCCGTTTTTAGAGTGCTGATTGGTCCATTTTTACAGAATGCTGATCGGTGTGTTTACAATCCTTTAGCTAGACAGAAAACTTCTCCAAGTCCCCACTGGACCCAGAAGCCCAGCTAGCTTCACTCTCAATAGGACCTGATTCTTACACACAGCCTCTTTTGGGCAAGGAGTCAGAAAAGCAGTTTCCAGCATCCAGCTCACAGTCTCAAAATGTGTCCTTCTTCAGTAAGGCCAGACCATGGAGACAACCCAAGGGAGCTCTAAGGTTGAGACTTTTAGTGTCCTGCAGGGGATTATCGCAGTCAGCCTTTTTTCTGATACCAGGCCAGCTATGCCTGTACCATTTTCCTCTGTTTAGGCAGGCAGAAATCTCTAACTGCTGGGCACCCGACCTCACCTCGCAAATTTGCATGTGCTAATCTCAGGGCAGGAGACCTGAGCTGTAAGCTCTGGAAGGTGTCACAATGAATGCCACAGTTGCCTAGAGACAAGTCCCTGCAGCATGGCTGAGAAGGAAACCTCCATGAAGATGGGTTGGCGGGAGACTCTCACTTGTCTTCTTTGTGGGATCCTCAGAATAATCCCATGATCCTAGGACAAAGCCGACGTGAACCAGCCTGAGGAAACCCCAAGAAGTGCTGCAGGAATTAACTGGGGAATCCCTAAGGGTCCAAAAGGATCTTCAAGATGCCTCAGTTCTACCTAGATGTTGTAGGGGTGAATCTTTTTGAAAATTGCCCCATTCTGTTTTCTAAGCACAGCCCACATGGGCTCCCCAGGGTTGCTGTCTCCGAATTGAAGCTTCCTGCAGTACCACGCAGCCTCAGGAGATGCTGGGCTGTCTTTTTCTGTGGGAGTGTTGTGATTGTCGGATGTCTGCATGTGTGTGTGGCTTTGTGTGTCTCCCTGTGGAAAAGATTGCTAATGTCTCTCCCTGGGTTGGCTGCGGAACAGTGAAACACTGGGAGATGCCTGTTTTTTGGTGTGGCATTTATTTATTTATTTGTTTATGTATTTATTTATCTATTTATATTTTGCAGGCAGAGGTGATTTGAAAGCCGGAGCGTCATGAAACACCTCCCAATTCACCGCGGATTCATGATCCACAGAAAAATGAAGAAAACAAAGCCCTGCAACCCAAGCAGAGCCACACAGACAGGACAACACTAGGTTGGGAGACTCAAAAAAAAAAAAAAGAAGAAGAAGCGCTTACGTGTGTTAGTCTCATTCCTTTAAACAGACTCCACTTACAGGCACATGCACATATACACACACACACACACACACACAAACATCCCACACTCGCTAGCCTCCCACAGAAGCACACAGCCAAGCAGCTACTGAGGATGCATGGTTCTGCAGAAAGCCCCATCTGGGAGAGGGTATCCTGTTGGAACACAGGCAGGATGTATCTAGAAATCACAGTGGGGCAAGTTTAAAAGAGACTCACCCCTACAACATCTGTACAGGCTTGAGGAATCCTGCAGATATTTTGGATTCTTACAGATTTCACAGTTTATTCCTGGGGTTGTGCTTGAGGTTTCTTCAGTCTGGTTCACATCTGCCTTCTTTTGGGATCATGGCACTATCTGGAGAATCCAACAGAAAAGAGGTGAGAACACACTGCCATTGCACCTACATGGAGGTCTCCGCCGCCAAGCTGAGGGCCTTGTAGCTCGGCAATGATGACATTCGTTGTGACACAAGCCAGGGATCATAATCAGGCCTCGTTCCCTGAGTCTAGCACATGCACAGTCCTGAGGCAGGCAAGGATGCCCGGCTCTCAGAACTGTCAGCCTGCCTAAGCACAGGAAAATACTGCAGGCAAAACAGTCCTGGTGTTGCAATAAAGGCTGCCTGTGAACACCCACTGTGGGACACTAAATTTCTGCACGTCAAGGCCCCCTTGGGCCATCTCTGTCGTCTGGTCCCCTGGAGGAGGAGGCATTTTCAGACTGTGAGGTGGTCACTGGAAACTGGTCTTCTGACTTTATTCCCCAAAGAGGCTGTGTGCAAGAATCAGGTCCCATGGGGATTGGAATATAGTCTGGTGTTTCTGAAGGTCCTTTGGGTGATAGAAACATGTCTGAGACCCCAGAGGTGGGTGCCAGTGAAAGACAGGCTCTTGACCTCACTGCTGCCCTTCATCCCGAACCTCACAGGGGCTCTCTGGGAGAGGCAGAAACCACGACAAAGGCAAGTCCAAGGTGAAGCAGTGTTCTCACACCTCGGACTGGCTTATTGCAGGTTCACATGAGGTTAAGAAAGTATCTCAGAGGATTTCTGTGGCAGTGCAAAGTCTGAAAGGGTATCCAGTAGTGTTGTTGAGGGGCACTGTGTATTCCCCTTGAAAGCAAAGAAAAATCAAGGCTCGCCTGAGAGAAAGAGATGCCTTATGGTAGAGTACAAGCAATGTTCAATGACTCCTGTCAGAGGACCAAAAAGACTCCTGCAAAGTGGAAACAACCTCAGCCCCAACAAGGAGAAAACATCCCTCAACATGAAGGGCAGCCAACTTACCCGGAGTCCCTTTTGCTGTCTGAAATTCCTGGCAGCTAACTACTCTGTGGTGAGAGGCAGTCCCAAGCAGCAGCAGCCCAAGGAGGAACCAGACCCTCCACAATGAAAAGAACATGCAGATGAAGTGAAAAATATGCTAGATTATGAGGCAAAAAACAAACACGGCTGCCTGCTTTTCATCCTGCAGAAATCATGCAGCACTCTGATAGAAGTGAGAGAACAAGAGTTCCCTTGTTGGTGAATATAACAGGAATTTACAGTTTTAAAAGTATCAAATCTGCCCAGTCATTAAAGCTGACAGTGTTTAGAAGGAAACTCTCACACAATGGATTCCGATGAGGGTTATTCTCTGTGAACTGGAAAAAGTTTACTGTGGAAGTCTTTGAGCCATAACCAGGAAACCCTAGGTCAGTGAGAAACATGGAAGTCTGGAAAAGAAGAGGCAAGTATGGAGGTCATAGCTCACCCAGCATCAATCCATTCCATTCCCATTTGGCTCTGGGTATGAAAGCCCTCAAATCAGGAGTGTACCAGGATGGCCCCAATTTACACTCCAAATGTTCCTTGCCCGTTGGAATACTCTCATGTGAACACCGGGCCATGGTGTGGACTGGTTGTGTAATTAATTGAATGTAGAGATGGTGTTGAAAGCACCTTCTGTGACACCTGTCTTCAATCTTTTTGCAGTTGAAGTTGCAGGAACCCATCCACCCTTCTCCAGTTTGTATCCTCACTCCTTTCTGAACTTATTACATCTCACACTCTATGTCCCAGAATAAAATCCCAAGATGATGGAGAAGTGTCTCCTCACAATGTGAAACACCTGCTCTCCTGGGAACCGAATTCAAGGTAAATTCAAGGGGGCACTGCAGACAGGACTGTGAGTTTTTCTCCCTGGGTTTGCCACAGGACAATGAAACACTGGGAGATGTCTGTTTTTTCATGTGGTGGGGGCTCCTTTTCTTTCTAGAAGATAGGTTTGTTTTGTTTTGTTCTGGTTTTTTGCAGGGGGAGGTGATTTGAAAGCTGGTGGGTCTTGCCCACCTCCCAGTTCAGACCCACAGAAAAATGAAGGACATGGAACCCCTGCAGCCCAAGCAGAACCACACAGACAAGTAACCAAAAGATTTAGAGACCCAACAACAACAAAAAAGCACTGAAGTGCATTAGCCACATTCCCTTAAGAAGTCTCCTCTTACAGGCAAACACACACACACACACAAGCACTCACAAACACACAATGCAATATAGACCCGTAGACATCCAACACTAGCAACAATTCCACAGAAACATACAGCCCTGTAGACCCTGAGGCTGTGTGGTTCTTCAGGAAGCCATACCTGGGAGAGAGCTACTGCACGGACACAGGCCAACTCTATCTAGAAATCTCAGTGGAGCAAGTTTCAAAAAGACTCACCCCTACAAAACTAGGCAGGCCTGAGGAATCCCGTAGATCGTTTTGGATCCTTAGGGATTTTGTGATTTATTCCCGGGACTGTGCTTGATATTTCTTAAGGCTGGTTCACATCTACCCTCTCCTAGGATCATGGAAATATGCTGCGTATCCCAGTGAGAAGACAGGCGAGAGTCCACTGCCGACGCACTTCCACGGAGGTCTCCTTCTCTGCCAAGCCGCAGAGACTTGTCCCTAGGCAGCGGTGACATATGTTGTGACTCTAGCCAGAGCTCACAATCAGGCCTGGTGCCCTAAGAGTAGTGCATGTACCTTTGTGAGGCAGGCTCAGGTTCCAGGCCATCAGAGATGTCAGCCTGCCTAAGCAGAGGAAAATGGTACAGGCAGAAGTGACCTGTTATTGTGAAAAAGGCTGCCTGTCAAAATCCACTGCAAGACCCCAAAAGTCTCAAACTCAGGAACCATTCATGCCATCTCTGTTGCTGGGTCCTGCTGGAGGAGAAGACATTTTGATACTGTGAGGTGGTCGCTGGAAACTGATCTTCTGACTCCGTTGCAGAAAGAGGCTTTGTGTAAGGATTGGGTCCCCTGGGAAATGAAATATATTCTGATGGGTTGTTGAGGGTTCTTCGGGTGATAGAATCATACCTGAGACCCCAGAGATGGGTGTCAGAGAAAGATGGCTGGACTCTTGCCATCACTGCCTCTCTTCACTGTGGGCCTTGCAGAAGCTCTCTGGGAAAGGCAGGAGCCATGATAAAGGCAAGTCCACTGTGGAGCAGTTTTGTCACACTCCGGATTGACATCTCACCAGAGCAGATGAGGTTGATACCCTGTCTCAGAGGCCATATGTGTTGATGGCAAGCATGATAAGGGTGTCCAGTACTGCTGATGAGGAGCACTGTGGATTCCCCATGACAGCAAAGAAAAATCAAAGCTTACCTGAGAGAATGAGATGCCTTGTGCTGGAGACTAATCAATGTTCACTGATTCCTGTCAGAGGACCCAAAAGCATCCGGAAAAGTGCAAACAACCTCAACCCCCAAAAGGAGACAATGACCCACAACCTGGAGTGTAGACAGCCTACCCAAAGTCCCTTTTGCTCTCTGCAATCCGTGGCATCTAAATAATCTGTGGTGAGAGACAGCTTTATCTAGCAACAGCCCAATGAAAGAAACCCTCCACAATGAAAAGCCTATGCAGATGAAATGAAATAGAGGCTAGATTACCAGGCAAAAGCCAAACGTGACTGGCTTCTTCTCATCCTGCAGGAATCATGCAGCCCTCCAATAGAAGCTTGAGAACAAGAGTTTCCTTGTTAGCAGATGTAATAGGAATTTATGGTTTTGAAAGTATCAAAGCAGCCCAGTAATTGAAACCTGATGGTGTTTAGAAGGAAACACTCATGAAATGGATTCCAGTAAGGGTTGTTCTCTGTGACTGGGAAATGATTAGTGTGGAAGTCCTTGAGCCAGATGCAGGAAATCCTAGGCTGATAACAAATATGGAAGTCAGGAGAAGAAGAGGACAAGTCTGCAGGCCACATCACACCCAGCATCAATCCATTCCACTTCCATTTGTCTCCTGGCACGAAAGCCCTCCAATTGTCAGTTTTCTAAAATGGCCTTAATTTGCCCTCCAAATGTTCCTTGCAGGTTGGGGTACTCCCAACTGAACACAGAGCCATGGTGTGGACTGCTTGCACAATTAAAGGAATGTGGCGATGGAGTTGGAAGCGCCTTCTGTATCGTCTGTCTTCATTTTTTTGCAGGAGAAGTTGCGGGACCCCATCCACCCTTCACCAGATTGTATCCTCACCCCTATCTTATCTTATTGCTGCTTACACTGTATGTCCTAGGATGAAATCCCAACATGATGGAGGAGTCTACCCTCATCACGTGAAGCAACAAGCTCTCCTGTGAACTGAATTCGAGGTAAATAAAAGGAGCCCTGAGGACAGGACTGCTAATGTCTCTCACTGAGTTTGACAAAGGACAATGAAACACTGGGAGATGTCTGCTTTTTGGTGTACTGTGCTATGTACTGTTTTTTTTTTGTTGTTTTCTTTTGTTTTCATTTTTTTGTTTTGTTTTGTTTTGTTTTTTCCAAAGAGAGGTGATTTGTATGCCAGCGGGTCTCTGCCTGCCTTCCAATTCACTGCGGACTCATGATCCACAGAAAAGTAAAGAACACAAGTACTCGCAGCCCAAGCACAGCCAGACAGACAGACCAACAAAAGGTTGTGTGACTGAAAGAAATGAAGCACTGAAGTGCGTTAGCCACATTCCTTTAAGCAGACTCCATTTACAGTCACACACACACACACACAAACAATGTCCAGCACACACACAGACATCAAACATTCTCAACAATTCCACAGAAACATGCAGCCCAGCACTTTCTGAGTCTGTGTAGTTCTGCAGGAAGCCCCACATGGGATAGAGCAACCCGGGGAACACAGGCAGGCTGTATCTAGAAATCACAGTGCAGCAAGTTTCAAAAAGACTCACCCCTACAATGTCTAGGCAGGCCTAAGGAATCCTGCAGATTCTTTTGGAACATTAGGGATATTGAAGATTCTTCCTGGAGCTCTGCTTGATGTTTCTGATGTTTCTTCAGGCTGGCTGATGTCTGTCCTCCCCTAGGATCATGGAACTGTCCCCTGGATCCCACAGAGAAGACAGGTGAGAGTCTTCCACTGACAGACCTCCACGGATGTCTTTTCCTCCACCAAGTCACAGGGACTGGTCACTAGGCAATGGTTAAATTCACTGTGAGGCTAACCAGAGCTCACAGTCCTGGTGCTCTGAGACTGGCATATGTGCACTCATGTGGCAGGCTTGGGCACCATGCTGTTAGAGCTGTCAGTCTCCATCAGCAGAGGAAACTGGGACAGGCAGAGCCAGCCTGGTATCAGAAAAAAGGCTGCCTGCAAAAACCTTCTGTGGGACCCTAAATGTCTCAATCTCAGGGACCCTTCTGGCTGTCTTGGTGGTGGGCTTTTGCTGAAGTAGGAGGCTTTTCAAGACTGAAGTGGTCACTGGAAACTGCACTTCTGTCTCCATTCTTGAAAGAAGCTGTGTGCAAGAATCACGTCCATTGTGGATCGGAATATAGTCTGTTGCTTGTTGCGGGTTCTTTGAGCAATAGAATCATACCTGAGACTCCAGAGGTGGGTGTCAGAGGAAGGTGGCTGGGCTCATGCCCTCACTGTCTCCCTTCATCCTGGGCCTCATAGGGGCTCTCTGGGAAAGGTACGAACCATGACAAAGGCAAGCCCAACGTGAAGCAGTGTTCTCACTCATTGGACTGGCCTCTCACGGGTGCAGATGAGGTTGATACAGTGTATCAGAGGCCGTCTGTAGCAAAGGAAATCCTAAAAAGGGTGTCCAGTGGTGCTATTGTGTATCACTGTGGATTCTCCATGGAAGCAAAAAGTCAAGGCTCCCTTGAGAGAATGAGATGCCTTGTGCTGGAGTCCATGCAATACTCAATGATTTCTGTTAGAAGACCCAAAGCCTCCTGCAAAGTTCAAGCAACCTCAGCCCCCACAATGAGACAATGGCCCACACCCTGGAGTGCAGCCAGCCAACATGAAGTCCCTTTTGCTCCCCGAAATTCCTGGCAGCCAAGAAATCTGGGGTGAGAGGCAGGGCAATGCAGGAACAACCCAATGAAAGAGCCCCTCCACAATGATAAAGGACTTGCAGATGAATTGAAACAGAGGCTAGATTACCAGGCAATGCCAGACAAGGCTGCCTGCTATTCATCATACCGGAATCTTGCAGCCCTCTGAAAGAAGTAGGAGAACAAGAGTTTCCTTGTTGGCAGCTGTAACTGATATTTACAGTTTTAAAAGTATCAAAGCTGCCCAGTCATTAAAACTTGACAGTGTTTAGAAGGAAACCCTCATGCAGTGGATTCGAATGAGGGTCATCCTCCATGAACTGGGAAATTTATTGTGGTAGACATTTAGACAGATCCAAGAAACCCCAGGCCAATGGGGAAAATGGAAGTCAGGAGAAGAGGAGTCAAGTGTGAAGGCCACATCCCACCCAGCATCAATCCATACCACACCCATTTAGTTCTGGGTATGACAGCCCTGAAATTGGGAGTTTGCCAGGATGGTTGAGTATGCAGTCCAAACGTTCTCCGCATGTAGAAGTACTCCCACCTGAACTCCAGGCCATGATGTGGATGGCTTGTGCAATTAAGGAAATGTGGGGATGCTGTTGGAAGTAACTTCTGCACCATCAGTCTTCACCTTTTTTGCAGGTGAAGGTGTGGATCTGCATGAAAACCTCACCAGATTGTATCCTCACCCCTGTTTGACCTTATTGCTGCTCACACTATATGTCCCAGGATGAATTCCCAAGACAATTGAGGAGTGCTCCCTCACAATGTGAAACACCTGCTCTACTGCGAACTGAATTACAGGTAAATTCAAGGGGCCCTGCCAACAGGACTTCTAGTGTCTCTCCCTGGGTTGGCCACAGGCCAATGAAACAGTCGAAGATGTACATTATTGGGTGAGGTGTGCTCCTCTTCTTTCTAGTAGAGTGGCTTTTTTTTTTTTTTTTTTTTTTTTTGCAGGTGTAGGAGATTTGGACCATGGCAGGTAACAGCCAGCCTCCCAAATCACTGTGGATTCTTGATCCACAGAAAAATAAAGAACACAGAGACCTACAGCCCAAGCAGAGCCACACAGGCCACCAAAAGTTTGGGAAACAAAAAAAAAGTGCTGCAGTGCATTAGCCTAATTCACTTACACAGACTCTGCTTAAACTCACACACACACAAACACACACACACACAAAGCCACACACACAGAGACATCAAAACTCACAACACTTTCACAGAAATTACAGCCCTACTGGTCCTGAGGCTGCATGGTTCTGCAGGAATCCCCACCTGGGAGAGAACCATCCCAGGCAACACAGGTGGGCTGTACCAAGAAATCACAGCAGGGGCAAGTTTCAAAAAGACTCAACCCTACAATGTCTAGGCAGGCCTGAGGTATCCTACAGATTCTTTTGGATCCTTAGGGATTTTGCGGATTATTCCTGGGGCTTTGTTTGATCTTTCTTCATGATGGCTTATGTCTGCCCTCTCCTAGGATAGCCAAAACATCCTGTGGATCCAACAGAGAAGACAGGCGAATGTGTACTTCCAATACACATCCATGGTGGTCTCCTTCTCCACCAAGCCCCAGGGACTTGTTGCTAGGCAACACTGTCATTCATTGTGACGCTTGCCAGAGCTTACAGCTCTGGCCTGGTGACAGGACACTAGCACATTTGCATTCGTATCACAGGCTTGGGGGTCCAGCTGTCAGAGCTGTCAGGCTGCCTAAGCAGAGAAAAGTGGTATAGGGAGAGACGGCCTCATGCTGGGAAAATAGCTGCCTGAGATAACCCACTGAGAGACCATAAAAGTCTCACTGTCAGGTCTTTTTTGGGCCATCTTCTTGGTCAGGTTTCACTACAGGTGGAGCCAATTTGAGACTGTGGCCTGGTTGCTGGAAACTGTACTTTTAACTCCATTCCTGAAAGAGGCTGTGAGCAGGAATCAGGTCCCATGGCAATTGGAATATAGTCTGTTGAGTTGTTGAGGGGTCTCTGGGTGATGAAATCATACCTGAGACTGCAGAGGCTGGTGTCAACAAAAGATGTCTGTGCCCTGGATGTCACTTCCTGCCTTCATCCTGGGCCTCACAGGTACTCTCTGGGAAAGGCAGGAACCACGACAAAGGCATGTATATGGTGGAGTAGTTTTCTCACACCATGAACTGGCCTCTCATGGGTGCAGATGAGATTGAGACAGTGTCTCAGAGGACATTTGTTGTGACTGTAAGCCTGAAAAGGGTGTGCAGTAATACTGGTTAGGGGCAATGTGTACCCTCCATGAAAGCAAGAAAAAAATCAATGCTCATGTGAGAGAATCAGCTGAATTGTGCTGAAGTCCAAGCAATGCTGAAAGACTTCTTTCAGAGTACCCAAAAGCCACCTGCAAAGTGCAAGCAACCTCAGTTCCCAAGATGAGATCACAACCCACAATCTGGAGTGGAGCCAGCCTACCTGAAGTCTCTTTTGCTCTCTGAAATCCACAGTATCTGTGGTGAGAGGAAGTCCCATACAGCAACAGCCCAATGAAACACCCACTCCTCAGTGAGAAAGGACATGCAAGCACAATGAAACAGAGCCTAAATTACCAGGCAAAAGCCAGACACGGCTACCTGCTTTTCATCCTACAGGAATCATGCAGCCCTCACATAGAAGTGGGAGAACAAGAGTTTTCTTGTTGGTGGCTTTAACAGAAATTTATGAATTTATGGTTTTAAAATATCTCAGCTGTGCAGTCATTAAAACTTCACAGTGTTTAGAAGGAAACACTAACACAATTGATTCTCATGAGGGTCGTCCTCTGTGAACTAGGAAATATTTAGTGTGGAAGGCATTGACCAGATCCAGGATGAGGATCATGAAAGAAAGGAAAAGAAGAGGTAAGTGTAGGGGCCACATCCCACCCAGCATCTATCCATCTTGCTTTCATCTGGCTTCTGGTATGAAAGCCCTCAAGTCGGGAGTTTGCCAGCATGGCCCCAGTTTTCACTGCATATGTTCCATGCACGTTGGAGTACTCCCACCTCAACACTCGGTCATGTTGTGGACTGCTTGTGCAGTTAAGAGAATGAAGAGATGCAGTTGGAAGTACCTTCTGTGTCATCTGTCTTCACCTTTTTTCAGGTGAAGGTGCAGCACCCCATCCACCCCTCACTACATTATATCCACACCCCTAACTAACCTTATTGATGTTCACACTCTCTGTCCCAGAATGCAGATGATAGAGGAGTGCCCCCTCATGATGTGAAGCTCCTACTCAGCTGACAACCAAATTTGACGTAAATTCAATGGGGCCTGCGGACAGGAATGCTAGCATCCCTCCCTGAGTTGGCCACAGGACAATGAAACACTAGATGTCTGTTCATGGGTGTGGTGTGCACCTCTTCTTTCTGGAAGAGTGGCTTCTTTTGCAGGGGGAGGTGATTTGGATCCCAGCTGGTCTCAGTCAAGCTCCCAATTCACTATAAGTTCATGATCCACAGAATAAAAAACATGGAGCCCTATAGCCCAAGCAGAGCCACAGAGACAGCCCACCAAAAGCTTGGGAGAATTAAAAAAAAAAAAAAGAAGAAGAAGAAGAAGAAGCTCTGCAGTGCATTAGCCACATTTTTTTAAGCGGACTCCACTTACAGGCATACAGACAGAGACACAGACACACACACACACTCAAAGCCACACACACAGGCAGATACCCAACAATTGCAACACTCCCACAGAATCACACAGCCCAGTAGCTTCTGAGGCTGCGTGGTTCTGCAGACAGCCCCACTTGGGAGACAGCATCTTTGGGTATACAGGTGGGCTGTACCAATAAATCACAGTGGGGCAAGTTTCGAAAAGACTCACCCCTACAACTTCTAGGTAGGTCTGAGGCATCATGCAGATCCTTTTAGATCCTTAGGGATTTCGTGATTTATTCCTTGGGCTCTGCTTGAGATTTCTTCAGGCAGCTCACGTCTGACCTCTCTTAGGATCATGGGACTATTTCATGGATCCCACAGATAAGGCAGGCGAGAGACCACTGCCAACGCACCTCCAGGGAGGTATCCTTCTAAGTCGAGCCACGAGTGGCTTGTGGACTCGTGGACTTGTGGCTAGAATACGGAGGCATTTATTGTGATGCTAACCAGAGCTCACAGCTCAAGCCCCGTGCCTTAAGACTAGCGCATGCGCATTCACGATGGAGGCGTCCACGCTAGGCTTTCAGAGCTGTCAGCCTGTCTATGCAGAGGAAAATGGTACCGGCAGAGCCTGCCTGATATCGGGAAAAGTCGGCCTACAAAAACCCACTGGGAGACCCTGAAAGTCTTGATCTTAGGGCCCCTTCAGATCATCTCTATGGTCAGGTCACGCTGGAGGTCAAGGCATTTCATGACTGTGAGGTCGTCGCTGATAACTGCTTTCCTGACTCCATTCTTGAAAGAGGCTGTGTGCAAGAATCAGGTCCATGGTGATTGGAATATAGTGTGGTGTGTTGTTGTGTTCTTTGGGAGACAGACTCATACTTGGGACCCCAGAGGCAGTTGCAGTGTCAAAATATGGCCAGGCTCTTGACCTCACTGCCTCCCTTCATCCTGGGCCTCACATGGGCTCTCTGGGAAAGGCAGGAACCAGGACAAAGGCAAGTCCAAGATGGATCAGTGTTCTCACACCTCTGACTGGCCTCTCACAGGTGCAGATGAGGTTGAGACAGTGTCTCAGAGGCCATCTGTGGTGATGGGGATGTCCAGTAGTGCTGCTGAGGGGCACTGAGGATTTCCTATGAGAGCAGAGAGAAATCAAGGCTTGCCTGAGAGAACGAGCTGCCTTGTTCTGGAATCCAAGCAATGTTCAATGATTCCTGTGAGAAGACCCAACAGCCTCCTGCTAAGTGCAAACAACCTCAGCAACCACAATAAGAGAACGATCCACAACCTGGAGTGCAGCCAGCCTACCTGAAGTACCTCTTACTCTCTGCAATCCCTGTCAGCTGAATAATCTGTGATGAGAGGCAGTCCCAACCAGTCCCAAAGAAAGAACCCCTCCACAATGAGAAGGCCATGTAGATGAAATAAAACAGGGGCTAGATTACCAGGCAAAAGCCAGTCATGGCTGCCTGCCTCTCATCCTACAGGAATAATGCAGCCATGTGACAGAAGTGAGAAAACAAGAGTTTCCTTGTTTGTGGCTGTAGCGAGAATTTGTGGTTTTAAAAGTGTCAAAGCAGCCCAGTCATTAAAACATGAAAGTGTTAAGAAGAAAGCAGTCACACAATGGATTCCCATCAGTCACGTTGTCCATGAAGTTGGAAACATTTAGTGTGGAAGTCATTGAGCCAGACCCAGGAAACCCTAGGCCAATGAGGAACATGGAAGTAAAGAAAAGAAGAGGCAAGTCTGGAGGCCATATCCCACCCAGCATCGATACATTCCACTCCCATTTGGCTCTGGGTGTGAAAGCCCTCAAATGGGAAATTTGACAGGGTGGCCTCAATTTGCACTCCAAATGTGGCTTGCACGTTGGAGTACCCCCACCTGAACACCAAGCCAAGATGTGGACTGCTTGTGTAATTAAGGGAATGCAGGGTTGGAGTTGGAAGCACTTTCTGTGTCATCTGTCTTCATTTTTTTTTTTTTGCAGGTGAAGTTGCAGGACCCAATCTTCCCCTCAGCGGTCGTATCCTCACCCCTGTCTAACATTATTGCTACTTATACTCTATTTCCCAGGGTGAAATCCCAAGATGATTGAGGAGTGCCCCCTCACAACTTGAAGCAACTGCTCAACTGGGAACTGAATGCTAGGTAAATTCAAGGGGCTCTACAGGCAGGACTGCTAATGTCTCTCCCTGGGTTGGCCGCTGGACAGTGAAACACTGGGAAATGTCTGTTTGTGTGTGTGGGCGGGGGGGTATGCTCTTCTTTCTAGAGGAGTGGCTTTTTTTGTTTCAGGTGGAGGTGATTTAGTGCATCTTGGCACTCCTCCTAATTCACTGTGGATTCAAGATCCACAGAAAAACAAAGAACACTGAGCACTTCAGCCCTAGCAGAGCCACACACAGGCCACCAAAAAGTTTGGAGACTCAAAAAAAAGAAACACTGAAGTGCATTATCCACATTACTTTAAGCTGATTCCACTTACAGGCACACACACATGCACACACAAACACACAATGACACACACACATGCAGGCATCTAACACTCACAAAACTCCCACAGAAACACACAGCCCAGCAGCTCCTGAGGCTGCATGGTTCCACAGGAAGCCACATCCGGGAGAGAGCAACCCCAAGGAACACAGGTGGGCTGTACCTACATAACACAGCGGGAGAAGGTTCAAAAAGACTCACCCCTACATCGTCTAGCAGACCTGAGCAATCCTGCAGAGATTTTTGGATCCTCACAGATTTCACAGTTTATTTCTGGGGCTGTGCTTGATGTTTCTTCAGGCTGGCTCACTTCTGTCCCCTCCTAGCATCATGGGAATATCCCTTGCATCCCACAGAGAAGATAGGTGAGAGTCCACCACCTATGCAACCTCATGGAGGTCTCCTTCTCTGTTAAGCTGCAGGGACATGTCACTATGCAATGGTGACATTCATTGTGGCACTAGCCAGAGCTCACAATCAGGCCTGGTGACCTGAGACTAGCATATGCACATTCCTGAGGCAGGCAAGCAGAGGAAAATGGTGTAGGCCAAGCTGGCATGATGTCAGGAAAAAGGCTCCCTGTAAAAACCCATTGTAGGACCCTAGAAATCTCCACCTCAGGGCCCCTTCAGGTTGTATACATGGACGGGTCCCACTGAAGGAGGAGGCATTCTGAGACTGTGAGGTAGTCACTGGAAACTGCTTTTCTGACTCCATGCCCAAAAGAGGCTGTGTGCAAGAATCGAATCCCATGGGGATTGGGACATAGTCTTGTGTGTCGTTAAGTGTTCTTTAGGTGCTAGAATCATACCTGAGATCCCAGAGGTGGGTGTCAGCGAAAGATGGCCAGGCTCATGACCTCACTTTCTCCCTTCATCCTGGGACTCGCAGGGCTATCCAGGAAAGGCAGGAACCATGACAAAGGAAAGTCCACGGTGAAGCAGTGTTCTCACACCTTGGATTGGCCTCTCACAGGTTCAGTTGAGGTTCAGACAGTGTCTCAGAGGCCGTCTGTGGTGATGGGGATGTCCAGTAGTGCTGTTGAGGGGCACAGTGGATTCCCCATGAAAGCAAAGAAAAATCAAAGCTCATCTGAGAGAACAAGACACCTTGTATTTGAGTCCAAGCAATGTACAAAAATTCCTGTCAGAGGACCCTAGAGCCTCCTGCAAAGTGCAAACAACCTCAACCCCCATAACAAGAGAACGACTCCCAACCTGGAGCACAGCCAGCTTACCTGAAGTCTCTTTTGCTGTCTGAAATCCATGGCAGCTACATAATGTGTAGCAATAAACAGTCCCGTCCTGCAACATCCCAATGAAAGAGCCCCTTCACAATGAGAAACCTGTGCTGATGAAATGAAAGAGAGACTAGATTACCAGGAGAAAGCCAAACACAGCTGCCTGCATCTCTTAATAAAGTAATCATCCAGCCCTCCGAAAAATGTGGGAGAACAAGACTTTCCTTGTTGGCAGCTGAAATGGGACTTTACAGTATTAAAAGTATCAAAGCTGCCCAGTCATTAAAATGTGACAGTGTTTAGAAGGAAACACTTTTGCAATGGATTCCTATGAGGGTCATTCTCTGTGAACTGGGAAAAGTTTAGTGGGCAAGTCCTTGAACCAGACACAGGAAACCCTAGGCTGACTGGGAACATGGAAGTCAGGAAAAGAAGAGGCAAGTGTGGAAGCCACATGACACCCAGCATCAATCCATTCCAATCTCATTTGGCTCTGGGTATGAAAGCCCTCAAATCGTAAGTCTGCCAGGTTGGCCCCAATTTGCACTCCAAATGTTTCTTGCACATTGGAGTACTCTCACATGAACACTGGGCCATGGTGTGGACTGCTTGTGCAGTTAAGGGAATGCAAGGATGGAGTTGGAAGTGCCTTCTTTGTTACCTGTCTTCATTTTTCTGCAGGTGAAGTTGTGGGACTCCATCTACCCCTCACAAGATTTTACCCTCACTCCTATCTGACTTTATTGCTGCTCAAACTCTATGTCCCAGAATGAAATCCCAAGACAATGGAAGAGTGCCCCTTCATGTGAAACACCTGCTCACCTGGGAACTGAATTCCAGGTAATTTCAAAGGGCACTGTGGACAGGACTGTTAATGTCTTTCCCAGGGTTGGCCACAGGAAAATGAAACACTGGGAGATGCCTGTTTTTTTGGTGTGGTGTGCTCCTCCTCTTTCTAGGAGGGTGGCTTTTTTCTCAGGGGGAGATGATTTGGATGCCAGCGGGTGTCGGCCAGCTTCCCACTTCACTGTGGATTAATGATCCATAGAAAAATAAAGAACACAGAGCCCCACAGCCAAAGCAGAGCCACAACCACAGGCCAACAAAAGGTTGGGAGACTCAAAAAAAAGAAGCGCTGAAGTCTGTTAGCCACATTCCTTTAAGCCTACTCCACTTACAGGCACATTCCCCCCTGCCCTTCCCACACACACACACAATGCCACACACACACACACTCAGACATGACCACTCCCAACACTCTTACAGAAACATACAGCCAGCAGCTCCTGAGGCTGCATAGTTCTGCAGGAAGACCTACCAGGGAGAGAGCAACCCCCATTAAAACAGGCATGCTGTACCTAGAAATCGCACTGTGGCTAGTTTCAAAAAGACTCCCCCCCTACAAAGTCTAGGCAGGCCTGAGGAATCCTGTAGATCCTTTTGGCTCCTTAGGAATTTCGTGGTTTATTCCTGGGGCTGTTCTTGACATTTCTTCAGGCTGGCTCATGTCTGCCCTCTCCTGCGATCATGGGACTATCCTGTGGATTCCACAGATAAGACACGCAAGAGTCCACCACCGATGCACCTCCACGGAGGTCTCCTTCTCTGTCAAGATGCAGAGACTTGTCACTACGCAACGCTGACGTTCATTTTGACGCTAGCCAGAACTCACCATCAGGCCTCCTGCCCTGAGACTAGCGCATGTGCATTCATTAGGCAGGTCCAGGGAGCCCGACTGTCAGAGCTGTAAGAGCTGAAGAAGAAGATGGTTCAGGCAGAGGCAGCCTGTTACAGGGGAAAAGGCTGACTGCGAAAACCCATTGCGGGACCCTAAAAGTCTCGAACTCAGGCCCATTTGGGTCGTCTACATGGTCTGGACCTGCTGCGGGAGGAGGCATTTCAAGACTGTGAGGTGGTCGCTGGAAACTACTTTTCTGACTCCATTCTGGAAAGAGGCTATGTACAAGAATCCGGCCCCACTGGGATTGGAATATACTCTGGTGTGTTGTTGCAGAGGTGATAGAATCATACCTTAGGTGATAGAATCATACCTGAGACCCCAGAGGCGGGTGTCCGCGAACGACGGCCGGCTCTTGCCCTCACTGCCTCCCTTCGTCATGGGACTCGCAGGGACTCTCTAGGAAAGACAACAACGACGGCAAAGGCAAGTCCAATGTGGAGCCGTGTTCTCTCACTTTGGACTCGCCTCCCACTGGTGCAGATGAGGTTGAGACAGTGTCTTAGAGGCCGTCAATGGCGATGGCAAGCCTGGAAAGGGTGTCCAGTAGTGCTGCTGAGGGGCCCTGTGGATTCCCCAATGAAAGCAAAGAAAAATCAAAGCTCGCCTGAGAGAACTAGTTGCCTTTTCCTAAAGTCCAAGCTCTGCCTCCCGGGTTCACGGCATTCTCCTGCCTCAGCTTCCCGAGTAGCTGGGACTACAGGTGCGTCCAACCACGCCCAGCTATTTTTTTGTATTTTTAGTAGAGACAGGGTTTCACCGTGTTAGCCAGGATGGTCTAGATCTCCTGACCTCGTGATCCACCCACCTTGGCCTCCCAAAGTGCTGGGATTATAGGCATAAGGCACTGCACTCAGCCAAAATATTTTCTTTTAACAGGTTTTAGGATTTGATAAAACCAAAAAGATAGGAGCCTACATCTTTGTAAACTCTAACAAGATTCTTCTATGTATTTTCCTTATAAAAGAATGAAGCTAAGTTTTAAGGAGAAGGAAAATAAATTTAATTTGATTTAAATTACTTGAATTTTCTTGTTGACCATACCTAATTTTTTAAACAACATTAGTAGCCACATTGAACACATTAAAAGAAACAGGTGAAATTTTTAATAATATATGTAACCTGATACATCCAAAATATTGTTTTAACAGGTATTCAGTATAAAAATACTAATAAGATACTTTACATTTATAGCTTGTACGAAGTCTTTAAAATCTTATCTGTTTTTTACATTTAAAGCACATCCCAGTTCAGACTGACACCGTTCAAGTGTCAATGGCTAGATGTGGTTTAAGCGTTCTGATTTTGACAACATTTGGAAAATACAGAAAAGTAGGTGTAAAACCATGTCTAAAGTCATGCCCGCCAGAGCCAAACACTATCAGTGCTTTAATCTACTTCAGCCAGACTTTTTTCCTGTATGCACACTTTTTGGTGGGTGTTATACATGGTTGAGATTGTACTCTGGGTTCAGATTTGTGCTCTGCTATGTGGTTGATTCAGATCCACAGCTGGTTTGAGGGCCAGTGGACCAATGGAAGAAAGAGTCAGTAGAGCCCACTTTAGTCCCGGTTATGCTGTTATGTTGTCACTTATTAACCTATATTGACATTTGTTCTTTATCTATAAAGCAGAGGGTTTGAAGTGTGTGCAGGTTGTGCTGTTATGTAGTCACTTATTAACCTATATTGGCATTGAATGTGAAGTCAGCTTTAACCAAAGTCCAGTGAAGACCTCCCTGCCTTAGCACTTAGAGAGTAGAAGACTCCAGTATTTTCTGGCTTAAACTCTACTATTGGTTTTGTTTTTCCTCTAACATTTTATGATGAGCATTTTCAACATACAGAAAAGTTGAAACAACTCTAGCTAACCCTTATATACCACCTAGATTGCACTATTATATTTGTATTATACTTGATTCATCATTTTTATCTGTTCATTCATGCATCTGTGTTACTGTCTTTGGGTATTTCAAAGTAAATTGAAGACACCTATGCTTTCCCCTAAGTATAATCTTTACTTTTAAACCAGATGTCTGCCCTCTTACACACCTGACCATGCTTCTGTGTCTTAATTTGACCTGTTACTTTTCAATAGCTGAGAAGGTTGAGCTTATAGATGATCAGTTTGCAGAGGCTTACCTTCAGCATATCAAGTTTGAGTCATTAGAAATAAAGCCAAATGAATATAAAAGAGAAATAGAGGAGCAAATTTGAGCAGAAACATGTCAAAAGGTAAATTTTATCTTGTTTCGCTTCACAAGTTTGTCTTCTAAAAACTTAATCTTAGGTCTATCAAAAATATCTAGAACTTTTAATAAAGAATGTGATAGTATTCTGTTGTGCATATGATTTTTTTCTCATGACATTTGTTTTATGCCTTTTGAGTGAGTCCTACAGGTACAGTGAATTAGAAAAAACTATAGATGAAGTAAATAGAACATATTTGGACAACATATTTAGACAGAGCATTAATGTTGGGCCTAGCTCTGGAGAAATAATCTGTTACTGTTTTTATAGTATAATAGTTGGAATTTTAATTTTTTGATCAACTTGCAGTTGAAGTTCTTTAAAGATGCCAAGATAAAAAAAATTCAAATGGAAGTGAAAAGAAAGTGCGAGAAGGAATTAGTTGTCTTCCAGAATGATTTTTGATAATGCTTGTCAAGCAAAATCTGAAGCCCTCATTCTTTATGAAAAGAGTATCCTTTAGATAAATGAAAAGCACCAAGAGGTGGTATTTATGAATATTTTACTGGGTGGCTAATTCCTGCAGCTATTAGTAGGTTGTCTCAAAATCCAGGAAGAAGATTGTACAAGTGATGGAACAAGGCCCCAGAAGTGCCATAGGGACTGGAGCCAAGAGTGCAAAAGAGTCAAATAGAAAGAAGGATGGGCCTTGAAAACGATACACATATTTGGTTCCTCTGAGACTGGTGGAAAGGCAAGAATTGCAAAGGTGAACAGTCAACTTGGGATAACGAGAAACACACCCTTAAAAAGCTCCATCTACTCAGACAATTTAGACGGATAGATCATGAGTTGTAGGAGCAGCTTGGAGGTGCAGACTAGTTCATGTGGGTAAGGGAAGAATAGCTCCTTAAAGCAGAGAGGACTGATCACCTGTAGTGAGGGCCCAACAGTGGTTGGGCTAGCCTGAATTGAGAGGAACCAAACCACATACTTGTAGGTGAGTTTCCTGTTCTAGCTCTGTGGAGGAATTGTAAGTGTCTTTCTCTTCTGTCCCTTTCACTGAGGGTAGAAAGATGGAGATGCTTCAGAAATGGAGACTTGTAGAGCCTAATTTATTTTAATTGAGAAAGGCAGCCTATTCAATTGGGGATTCTGGGGCTCTCTTGGGTAGTGAAGGGAAGCAGAGGAGAGGGCAGGTGGCTGCTAACCTGGGAGAAAGGGAGGGTTGAGTGGCAGTCTCAGTGATCAAGGACCAGATCTGGAGATACTGGCAGATGGAAGAATAAGGATGGCCCAAGAGTACAGAATTACAGAATGAGCATTCAGGTGGAGACTGGAAGTCAAAGACAGTGTGCTGCCATTGGAGGCAGCCATGGAAATGAGCAAGAGTGAAGATTCCTGAAGTAAAAGAGTCACCAGAGCCACAAGAGTCATCCATGTGGCCATTTGATATCATCAGCAGGAATATAACTGGACAGGACATGAAGAGGATGAGAAGTGGCAGGGAGTCCCAAGATGGCAAGTGGGATTACATCTACTCCTTTAAGAAATCTTACTCCTTTTCCAAGGGTGTGTCTCAGACAAGACTGGATTTGCTGCAGTATTTCCAGCATACATACAGAACGGCTGCTTCCGGATGTTAACAGTAGGAAGGCATCCCCCTAGGGTCCACTCTTGCTTGGGGCTTCTCAATGAGACCTAGTTACATAATGTGAGGGGCACCCCTCTAAAATTTTGTATAGCACTTCTGTGAATTGGGCTTGCTTCAGCTATAAAAATGAGTGTTGGAAGCACCGATCTTCAAGATGATTGAATTGTTTTCAGACTGATAACTTCATCTTCAAAACAGTTGACTGACTAGATTCCTGTGTATTTAACTGCCAGCATCTGAAGGCTTTGAGGAAGACTGCCAGCCTCATAAAAAGCACCATGTCTGTATTTCCTCACCTGGAGTATCAACCCCCTTCTCTCCCTGAAAAAAGCATAGTGTCATTCAAGGCTAGTGAAAACACGACAGGTTTAAATGAATATACTCCTTCCTTGTTGGAAAGCAAGGTTTCAACCTTATTCAACTAGCTATTCTAGCTTCATAATATTTACTCCCCCAAATCCTGTTAAACTACATTTCCATATATTCCTAACATGCCTTCTGGAATTTATACTACTTAGTTCTTTATATTATATAAATATATAATATATATTATATGTATTATATGTATTATTATACATATATATTATATATAATATATTATATATTGTATTATATTATACATAATATATTATATATATTATATTATATGTTATATATGTATTTTATACACACACACACACACACACACACACACACATATATATATATATATATATATATATATATGCAGTCCTGGACAACAGTGCAAGACCCTCTCTCCTGTCTCTCTGTGTGTTTGTGTGTGTGTGTGTATATACATATAATATGTACATATATATTATATATATAATGTGTATATATATAATATATATAAAATGTGTATATATATAATATATATAAAATGTGTATATATTATATATAATGTGTATATATAATATATATAATGTGTATATATAATATATATAATGTGTATATATATTATATATGTGTATATATAATATACATAATGTGTATATATAATATATAGTGTGTATATATAATGTATATATAATGTGTATATATAATGTATATATAATGTGTATATATAATGTGTATATATATGTATATATATGGAATTGATACTATGGTTGATTTGAAGTCTCACTATGGTCACTATAAAGACCATTGTGTTTTTAAGTACTTGGAATAGTTAAGAGTAAGTATGGTTAAGAATAAGTTATGGTTAATTTGAAGTCTCACTATGAAGACCATTCTATTCTTAAGTATTTGGAAGGCCAGAAAGATACATCTATCTTTTGCTCTCACTTTGGGGCTCTTTCAATATTCAATCAACAGTTTTTGTTTTTCATGGTTTTTTGTCTTGTTTTGGTTTTGTTTTGGTATTGGGTTAAGAGACAGGGTCTTCCTATGTTGCCCAGGATGATCTCAAACTCTTGGGCTCAAGTAATCCCCCTGCCTCAGCCTTCTGAAAAGCTCTGATTATAGGTGCAGGCCACCACACTTGGCTAAAGCTGATACATTATTAAGTGACAAAAGCAAATATTGTAACATAAATATCTATGGACTAATTAATTGAACCCCACAGTTAGAAACAGCATTATAGAAGATTCAGGTATATAAGTATACTTTTTCTTTTTTTTTTTTTTTTTTTGAGATGGTGTTTCACTCTTGTCGCCGAGGCTGGAGTGCAATGGTACAATCTTGGCTCACTGCGACCTCCACCTCCTGGTTTCAGGTGATTCTCCTGCCTCAGCCTCCTGAGTAGCTGGGATTACAGGCATGAACCACCATTCCCAGCTAATTTTGTATTTTAAGTAGAGACAGGGTTTCACCATGCTTTCCAGGCTGATCTGAAACTCCACAACTCAGGTGATCCACCCACCTTGGCCTCCAGAAGTGCTGGGATTACAGGCATGAGCCAAAAAGTCCAGCCCATAAGTGCACTTTTATTAGTTCATAACTAATAGTGTCATTCTTTCATCCCGGAATTCATTTTGGCCATTTATCATCTATAACTATTGTTTAAGTGTTAATTATCTACCATGAGAAACCACTTCCCTTTTGAGACTCTCCCACTTCCCTTAGTCAGAGACTCTCCCACTCTTCTCGGTCAGATGCCACAGCCCCCTGGTTCTGCTGGTTTTAACACACTGTAACCAGGTCAGTTCATAAAATACGCTGAGGACTTCTGGCTCTTTTCTTCTATTTCCCAGCAGTAATAGTCATGTAGCAGTTTTAGTCTGTTAAACTAAAAGCATGTCACATGATGTTTTTCCTAAATTTGTTAACTCAGTTATTATGGTTCATTTACTCTATTTATTTATTTGTTTATTTATTTATTTATTGCTAATTTCTGAACCAGAAGCTACAGAAAAACATAACAGCATGACTGAGGACTT
This sequence comes from Homo sapiens, assembly GCF_000001405.40. Lineage (NCBI taxonomy): Eukaryota > Metazoa > Chordata > Mammalia > Primates > Hominidae > Homo > Homo sapiens. Next base: position 9,034,718 of record NC_000024.10, read on the forward strand.
GGAAGATGGGAGCAGAATACAAAGTCCCTTGAGGAGAGCTATGACAGAAAGCTCAGGAGCAAACTTCTAAAGTAATTGTTTGGCACTTTTAAAGAAGTAACATGTATAAACTAACTTGGTAGAAGTATAACAAAACCTGAGGAAATAGTCTGTGATTAATATCTTATGCAAACTTTAGTGTTTGAAAAAATATATATGTTTATCAATAGCCAATACTTTCCTGCATTTGAGTTAAGGTAGTTTTTAAAAGATAAGCTATAGAGAAGCACACCCTCTTTTCTTATTACTCTTGGAATCTCTAACATTTGTTGAGGGCTGTAATTTTCTTTAACTTTCAGGGCACCTTGTAACTTGCTCAGGTTGCATAGTTGATAAGTAGCAAAAGTTGAAATATAATCACTTTTAGTCACCTTTTCCTCTATCCCACTCATACTGCCACAAAGATGGGGATATCTAACAATATATAAATTATACATAGTGGTCATAGTATTTGTCAGTGTCCATGTGCCTTGTATTCCTTTATGATTCTGCAAAGCCAGAATCAAAAGAAAAGAGCTAAAATTAACTGTGAGGAAAATGTGATATGGGGAAAGGAAAAAATAGACAACTTTTGCTACTTTGGCTTTTCTTTACTCTGAATTTTTGTATCAGTGAGTAATATCTCAGTGCTAAGACGCTAGTTCATGTGGTAATTTTCAGTGGGTGTGAAAGCCTCTGACACATAAAAAGTGCTCAGTTAATATTTGTCATGAATGTGTCATGAGGAAAGGACTCAACTCACGTGCTCTGGGCATTTATTTACGTGGTCTATTTTTATTGCCTTCCTCATAATTTACCATCAATATTCCATTACATAATACTTGCAAACATTTATTGAGGTTATTCTTCAAACTAATTCTGTTTTTTATTGGACAGTTTTTTTTAATCAATTCTGAAATGATGTATTTTACCCACATTCTCTGTGTCAGTTTCTATACTAAAATAGCAAACATGGAACGTTCTTTACTGAAATTTTAGGAATAAATGAATTAAAGTATGTGTGTTAATTTTATACTCTTGTGCAGCTAGTGAACTATTTGGTATCATAGTTACAGCTTCTATGGTCTGCATGGGGTCTGTCTGGCTTTGGCGATTCTCATACGACTTTGGCAAGTGTTGGAGTTTGGAAACTGTTCACCACAGGAGTGTTTCTTTGTCCTTGTGGAACCAGAAGGGAAGCTTGTTACAGCTGGGAAAGAAAAGTGAAAATTTGAAAATGTGCATATGGGTATTGCTAATTCAGATATAATGCTCTTGGCACGTGTTTCCCAGGACGGTGCTTAGTCCCTGGGCACAAAAGTTGTTTCATTGGTTTGGGGTGGGCAGATACGACAAGTGGATTGGAAGTGACTGTCTAATTATCATTTGGGATTGAGTCTGTTATGTGATCTGTAAATTTAATTTTCTTCTGTGCTCTTTGGGTCAGCTGAGACCAACTGAAAAGTGATGCTTTCAGTAACCTCATAGCAACACGACCCTCCATTTTGTGTGAGTAAGCTTTATAGCATCAAGGCAAAGTTTTACCGGACGTTTTATTTTCGGAAGTTAGATCCCTGGATTTAGTACTCAGGGACTTTGAAGTTTACAGTATGTCGTGTTCAATGCCCTCAGGTGCACCTCTGCCATAGATTATCTACATTGATAATGGTCTTTCCAGAAAGATAACTGAGGAACTCATATTTAGTCGTTCTGATTCACATGTATCAACTTGAACTAAAGGAGGACCACATCATTAGAACTAATGGACAGATCGAAGATGAAAGGAAGAATAAAGGTGATGTTTGGGTGGGGAAAGAAGCTGTATTTTTCAGTTCTGATAAAGTTTATTAGCTTCCCAAGTTGGGTCTGCTCCTGTCCCATATTCTAAAAAATATAGCTTATACTTCATTGTCCCCATAAAATTACACATTTTTTGTAATTCTAATTATATAAAATTAAAAACATTATCGTCTTCACTGCCTTTTGAGAAACCCTCATGTTTAGTATTATATGCATTCAGAAAGGCCTGTGATTTATCCTGGATATTTTACTCAACTTGATTTCAAGATATTTTGATAAATGTGTAATTGTCCAGAAGTTGGCAGTAACTTATTGCCTCTGGTATATATTAATCCTAACCATGAGATACTTTGTTTTTCACTTACAGAAAATTTTAACTTCTCTATCCCATGTGGAGTAATTTCTTATTTCATTGACCTCTAATATATTTTTCTTTGTAATATTTTACTTGATATATAACCTCCTGAATTCTTGTATATATTGGACTGAGACTGAAAGATGAGTAATTTTTCAATCTTCTGACATTTTACATGTCAATGTATCTCTAGGAAATTGCCTATAATAGGAAGTGAAGTTTTGATAGAAATTTCAAATAGATTCTTAGGAGTGAACCAAGGATGGGTATTTGATGTTGACCAGACACCCAATGTGTGGCTTCTCCTTTTACTACTATCTTGTGGAGACTAACTCTTCTTTTATGGGTTAGTACCATCATCTATGTAATAAACTGTACTTTGATGATATATCTACAGAGATTCATGACAGATGAAATGAAAATGACAAAATAATAACTTTAATACAGTAACAATATTGACTGTTACAATATAATAACAGACAGGTCTTTATCTTCAAGGAAGTTAAGAACTATGGGTATTAGGGCCTTATGCTCTGAGTAGATGGCGTAACTCTGCTTAAAGTGTGTAGCAGGTGAAATGTCATGACATACATGACATCTACAGCATCACAAACACTGTTGGGTAACAGGGTTTAGTTCTCACTTGCCCATGAATGTTTTATCCCTATATATGCTATCTCATATTATAAAATAATGATCATTAGGTCTGACATACTGGCCATGAATATTAAATAGCTTTTATATTCACTGGGAAAACATGGTGTTTAATGGGCTCACTCTTTCAGGAAAAGCTGTTTCTTTGCAAGTGGAGCTCCTAGCTATTAATGTAAAGAAGGAGGAACTCAATCAATCTGTAAATTGTATGAAAGAATTTAAGGTAATTGTTAAGCATATTGTTTTTTGAAATAGATTTTAACCAGTATATGAAATTTTGGTCATACAAAATTTATCCCAAGTCACCTCTTGAGGTGTTTGGACTGCCATTAATATGACTAAGAGGGTGATGTCTGAAGTTAATTCAATAATTCTGAATTTCAATCAATATCACATAGGAAAGCATAGATAGTGCTTTGAGTCCTAGGGTCCTGCTTGAATCCTGTATGTGTGTCTAATTGCTTGTGTGCCTTTGGGTAGGTTCTATGACTGCAGGGTCCTGAAATGTAAACGCTAGGATATTTTTCACATTATAGGGTTGTTGAAGGAATTCAGTGAGGTAACTTAAATGCCTACTTCACAGCAGGTGGCCAATACTATTATTGGTCTGGTCTACATCAGCCTGTTCTCTTCCTTCCAAAAGTAGCAGGTAAAAGTTCCTGTTGATACATTGTTATCTTACAGATTAAAACAAAATGAGGTGCATTTTTACATGCCATTTCTTCTTTACTTTTCATTCCTGAGCTTGCTGTCTGAAGGATGCATCTGGAACTTTAGGTATTTACAACATATTTTGTATATAAAATTAATTTTGCCAATTTAACTTATGTGAGAACTTTGTGGGATTTTGTACTCAAATATGAGACATAGTATACCCAAAAAAATAAAGCACTACACAACATGTTATAGATTTTTTTTTTTGGCAGAGTCTTACTGTGTCACCCTGGCTGGAGTGCACAGGCATGATCTCAGACCTCGGTTCACTGCAACCTCCACCTTCCAGGTTCAATGAATTCTTGTGTCTCAGCCTCCCGAGTAGCTGGGATTATAGTCATGTTCACCCACACCCGGCAGTTTGTGTATTGCTTTTTTTATTATTTTTTTCAAGATACAGTCCCTTCTGTCACCCAGGCTGGCATATAATGCCGTGATCTGAGCTCACTGCAACCTTTGCCTCCTAGGTTCAAGCAATTTTCCTGCTTCAACCACCTAAGTGCCTGGGTTACAGTCGCCTGCTACCACACCTGGCTAATTTTTGTATTGTTTTTACAGACTTGGTTTCACCATGTTGGCCAGGCTGGTCTCAAATTTCTGACCTCAATGGATCCACACATCTTGGCCTCCCAACATTCTTGGATTACAGGCATGGGCCACAGTGCCCTGCTGTATTTTTAGTAGAGATGGGGTTTTTCCATGTTGCCCAAGCTGGTCTGGAACAGCTGAGCTCAAGCAATACTCTCATCTTGGCCTCCCAAAGTGTTGGAATCACAGGCATGAGCCACCATGCCTGGCCATTTTTACCTTATATTTTCATATTTAAAATATGTATATATTTATATGATGTGTGATTGTTTTGGGGTTTTGGTTGTCTCTTGAAAATGTGATGATAATCTTAGAAGAACTTGCTTTATTGGATGTGGTCTATAAAACTTCCTCTGCCCCAACTCTAGGGCAGAAGATAATTTTTGTTGTGTAGTTAGGGACTTATTGCAGAGAATCAGACCTCTGTTTAGTCACCTTAGTTAAATTGTGACACAATGCTTAAAGGAGCCTGCCAGTTTGTACTTTTGCAGTGCTGTAAAGTCATTATTCAATTATAATTTTTTTTTTTGAGACAGAATCTGCACTCTGTTGCCAGGCTGTAGTGCAATGGCATGATCCTGGCTCACTGCAACTGCAGCGTCCAGAGTAGCTGGGAATACAGGCATGCACCACCATGCCCAATTAATTTTTGTATTTTTAGTAGAGATGGGGTTTCACCATCTTGAACAGGCTGGTCTCAAACTCCTGACCTCGTAATCCACCCAACTTGGCCTCCAAAAGTGCTGGGATTATAGCCATGAGCCACCACACCTGGACATATATATATGTGTGTGTGTGTGTGTGTGTGTGTGTGTGTGTGTGTATATAGTATATATATGTATATGTATATATGACTCTGAAATACAAATTTATATTTATAAACAATAATTTATAAATAAAAATATATTCATATAAGTATAATTTAAATTTATATGTATATATATTAAGTTAATTTTCAGTTAGGGTCTCTCAAAGCCCACTATTTGGCAATAACAAAACAAAAACGTATGCTTAATGAAAAGGTTAAAGAGATGCGTGATTATTCACTACTAAAAGAAGAGAAACTGGGAGTTTCTGACACAAAATAAATTACTTAAATGACAAGTGGAAGAGAATAGAAATGAAAACTTGTGTCTCCTAAATCATATATCTATTATCCACCTCCTGGGTTCAAGGAATTCTCCTGCCTCAGCCTTCCTAGTAGCTGTGGTGCATGCCTACAGGCATGCACCACCACATTCAGCTAATTTTTGTATTTTTTAGTAGAGACAGGATTTCACGATGTTGGCCAGGCTGGTCTCAAACTTTTAACCAAAAGTGATCCACCCACCTTGGGCTCCCAGAGTGCTGGGATTACAGGCATAAGCCACCGCACATGGCCTGCATGCTTTAGTAATTTATGTTATGTCAGCATTATAAAACTACGCTTTGTACCTGTAAGGGGAGGCTTAAATTGGGAAGATTTATAAAATTAAGATTACTGGATTAAACTCTGCTAACCTGCCTCTAGGTGGTATCCAGGCTTTCCTGGGCCTCTGTCTGCTGATTGGGTTTGGCCACTGGACACACCAACCTCCACATATAGTGGCCTTAGACTGGCTGCTGCATCTCAAGGCCAAGTGAGGTCATAGTGTCTGTGATGGCCTCTTCCAATTGTTCTTCACCACCTCCCTCTCTCCAGTGCTGAGAATTTCTCCCTTCTCTGATCTTCCATTCCCAAAGAGTGCTAACACTGTGGCCCTGTTACTCTCCCAGGGAACACTGCCATTATTTGTGGATACCCTGAATAAGTCACCCTTTATTAAAAATTTCTTAGATGACCTTGACTGTGGGAGCCTTCTGCCTTCTGCCTGGATCCCAACTGCTGCTGACAGATGCACAGATCATATTGGATCTTGGGGCTGTCATCAACAAGTAGACTAGGTAGAGAGCCACTTCTGTGCATGGTAGAGAACAGAAACAGTATTTCAAATTAATTTGAGGACTTAAAAGAGTTATTTTTTTTCTGTACCATTATGCATTCCACCACCAGTGAATGAATTCCTGTCTTTCCTTCAGCAAAGCATTTGTCATGTTTTAAAAACAATTTCACAGTTCTAGCAAATATAGACAGGCCATATCTCATTGTTTTAACTGTCACTCCCTTAAGGATATACAAGATTGAGCATCTTTTTGTTTGCTTGCCATCTGTGTATCTTCATTGATGAGGTATCTGCTCAGCTCTTTACCCATTTTTAATTGGATAGTCTCTCTTACTGTTGAGTTTCAATATTTCTTTGCATATTTTCAGAGCAAAGTCTTGCTTAGATCTGTAATTTGCAGATATTTCTCCTCAGACTGTGGCTTATCTTTGTTTCCTGACAAGATTTTATGCAGAGTATAAACTTTTAATATGAGAAGGCCTACATTGTTAATTAATTTTTCTGTTATGGATAAGCTTTGGTGTCATATATTAAAACTCATGACCAAACCCAAGGTCACATAGGTCTCTTTCTGTGGTTTCTTCTATAATTTGAATAGTTTTACACTTTAAGTCTCAGAACTATGTTGAGAAAAATTTTGTGTAAGTTGTAAAATGTGCCATCTCTGTTCATTTCATTGCCTGTGGTTTCCGGTTAATGGTCTCTTCATCATTTTCAGCAAAAAACAAACAACAACAAAAAAAACCCAGGATAATAGCAGCATTTCAGATGGAATTTCCAAAATGATGGTGCTGAACAATCTGAAGTCTGCTTTTATTTGGTGCCTTAGGCCAGTCAGGAGAGAATGCATAGCTGCCCCACCATGACCACCTGGGTCCTGCAGTTCTGCCGGCAGCCAGACGGGGCACATGAGACTACCTTTTCTGACCCTGGGAGGGCCCACGTGTTCAATGCATGCCACCTGAGGACAAGAGCTACCTTCTCCTCAGCACAGACCCCAGCCATACTGCCTCACTCCAGGACAGTAGGAGGCAGAAATAAGTGAAAACCTTCCTCTAACTGCTGAGGATCAGGGGCCCACTAGAAGGCCTTTGTGTGGAAAATTAGAAACAAAAAAATCCTACAGCTCTAGTGCACCCCAAGGTCTTTCCCCACACCCAAGGTGTGATGGCCACAATGCCAGGTGTGCGCCAAGGCCTCGTGGCCTTGTGACACAACTATAGCATTTATCACACAATTATAACATCTACAATAGAGAGATACAACATCCATAAACAAATACATTACCTACAATACAGATGTGACACTTGTAATACTAATGTAACACCTGTAATACTGATCTAACACCTGTAATACAACTGTAACACTCATAACAACAATAAAACACTCAGAAAACCAATATCACATCTGCAATACAAATATAATAACCATAATACTGATCTAACACCCTTAATAGAACTCTATCTCTCATAATACCAGTGTCGATTCACAATAAAAATAAAACATCCATAACACTGATGTAACATCCATAATGCTGTCTTGAAACCTGTAATAGAATTGCAACACTCATAATACCAACATACCACTCATAATACCAATATACCATCCACTATACAAATATAACAACTTTCATACTGATGTAACAACTGTAATACTGATGTAACACCTGTAATACTAATATAACACTCATAATACTACTGTAACATTTGTAATACAAATAGAACAACCATAACACTGATGTAACACCCATAAGTACTGAGGTAACCCTGTCATACAGATGTAAGACCTGCAATACTGATATAACATTCCTACACTTACAAAGGCACTTGGTTTCACAGCTTCCACTGAAGCTGGATTTGGCTCCTTTAATGGAGTTTGATGTTGTTGTCTCTGCTTTAGTGACATGGTATTGACATGGTTGTTTTTATTAAAAAGGAGTTTACTTCCCAACAATTTTCTACCTCTAGGAAATGTGAAATAGCAGTTAGTATACTTTATCCTTTCTCCCAGATTCCCAACTGGTTATTGCTGTGCCATATTTGCAGCTTCATTCAAAGTATCCCACTGTGTTTTAACAAAAGTGGAAACACTCTCCCAAATTACCATCATATAACTACCAAATCAGGAAATACAGGGTTAGTATTGGTAATTGTAATGGCAAAATATTTATTTACAAGCACAAATTTAATCCTGTCACTTTCCTGATTTAATTGTCTTAATGGTTGTGAGAGGTGAAGCCACCTGGACTTCCTGGGTCGAGTGGGGACTTACAGAAGTTTTCTGTCTAGCTAAAGGATTGTACATGCACCAATCAGCACTCTGTGTGTAGGTGAAAGTTTGCAAATGCCCCAACCAGCACTCTGTAAACAGGCACCAATCAGTGCTCTGTGTCTAGCTAAAGGTTTGTAAACACAACAATCAGCACTCTGTAAAACAGACCACCAGCACTTTATAAAATGGACGAATCAGCAGAACGTGGGTGGGAACAAACAAAACAATAAAATCTGGCCACCCCAGCCAGCAACAGCCACCTGCTTGGGTCACTTTCCACTCCGTGAGAGCTTCATTCTTTTGTTCTTCATAATAAGTCTTGCTGCTGCTCACTCTTTGGGTCTGCACTAACTTTGTGAGCTGTAACACTCACCACGAGGGTCTGTGGCTTCATTCCTGAAGTCAGCAAGACAGCAAACCCACCAGGAGGAACAAAGAACTCTGGACATGCCACCTTTAAGAGCTGTAAAACTCACTGCCCAGGTCTGCGGCTTCACTTATAAAGTCAGCAAGACCAAAAACCTACCAGAAGGAAGAAACTCCAGGCACATCTGAACATCTAAAGGAACAAACTCCGGACACACCATCTTTAGAACTGTAATACTCACTGCGAGGGTCCATGGCTTCATTCTCGTAGTCAGTGAAACCAAGAACTCACCAGAAGCAACCAATTCTGGACATACTTTGTTGATCCCGATGGGACACTCACCAAGCGGTGAATACCATCGGACCCCTTTCACTTGCTATTCTGTCCTATTTTTCCTTAGAATTCAGAGACTAAATACTGGGCACCTGTTGAACTGTTAAAAGTGACTAGCATGGCCACCAGACTAAAGACGTGAGTGTCAGGCTTTCTGGGAAAAGGCTCTCTAACAAACCCAGACTCTTTGGAGTTGGGAGTGTTGGTTTGCCTGGAACCAACTTCTGCTCTTCCTGTACTTCTGGGATGAGCCAGGGGTCAACAGAAAGGAAAGCCATTCAGTTCTGGGGTCCCAACAAGTTGGTGGACCCAGTGGCCATGAGCAGAACTCTCAAAGTCATGTCGCCCAAGCGAGACTCGCCCATCTATCCTATCTATCCTGATGCTTGCCTCCTGGGTCCTAATGCTTGTCAAACTTCCTCTTGCCTTTCTTCTCCTAGGCTAGTCCTGCTTCTAAAAACCACTCCTTGTCACTGGTGTTTTCTAGTTTATCCTATAAGAATGATTTCTAGTATAAACTTCAGGGTGCTTTTACCTTCTTTAGCTACCCAGGCTCACCAATCAGAAAGACATAATTTTTGCCCAAAGCCCCATCAGGGGTTAGGGTTACTATCTGGAATTTTAGGATGCTTCCTTAGACTGGCAGGCCTAAAATAAGCAATTCCTGAAGCTAGGATATGAAGAGCTTCAGAAATGGTATCTTTCCTATTCATATGAAGACAAAAGGCATCACTCTTCCAACTCTTGAGATCCCTTCCCTTACTCAGGGTATGGCCCCCCACTTCATATTTGGGGCCTAACATCATTATAGGACAGTTGTAAGATCCCAATACTAACAGGAGAATGCTTAGGACTCTACAAGGTTTTCAAGAATGTGTCAGTAGGAGCCACTAAATCCAATTTTTCTTGGTCCCCTGCACCTTTGCCACCCTAGGAGGAGAGGCAAAGTTGCAGGTTTTTCAGAATGTGTCAGTAAGGGCCACTAAATCCAACCTTTCTCAGTCCTGTTTGTGGTCTAGGAGGAAAACTAATGTTTCTGCTGCTGCATCAGTGAGTGCAACTGTTCCAATCAGCAGGGTCCAGGGACGATTGTGGGTTTCTGGGCAAGAGGTGTTTCTGCTGCTGCATCAGTGAGTCAACTATTATGATCAGCAGGGTCCAGGGACTGTTGTGGGTTCTTGGGCAAGAGGTGTTTTTGCTGCTGCATTGGTGAGCACAACTATTCTGATCAGCAGGGTCCAGGGACCATTGTGGGTTCTTGGGCAGGGGGAGAAACAGACAAACCAAAACTGCTGGTTGTTTTGTCTTTCAGATGGGAAACTCTCAGGTATCAACAGGCTCACCCTTGGAATTCATCTTAAGCCACTGGGACCAATATGACCCACAAACCCTGAAAAGCAGGAGGCTCATTTTTTTCTGCACTATGGCCTGGCCCCAATATTCTCTCTCTGATGGGGAAAAATGGCCACCTGAGGGAAGTATAAATTACAATACTATCCTGCAGCTTGACTTTTTCTGTAAGAGGGAAGGCAAATGGAGTGAAATGCCTTATGTCCAAGCTTTCTTTTCATTGAAGGAGAATACACAACTATGCAAAGCTTGCAATTTACATCCTAGAGGAGGACCTTTCAGGTTACCTTCATACCCAGCCTCCGCTAATCTCCCTTGCCCAGAAGGAAACAAGAAAAGAAATCTCCAAAGGACCACAAAAACCCCCAGGCTATTAGTTATGTCCCCTTCAAGCTATAAGGGGAGGGGAATTTGGCCCAACCAGGGCACATGTCCCCTTCTCCCTCTCTGATTTAAAGCAGATCAAGGCAAACCTGGGGAAGTTTTCAGATGATCCTGATAGGTACATAGATGTCCTACAGGGTCTAGGGCAAACCTTCAATCTCACTTGGAGAGACATCATGCTATTGTTAGATCAAACCCCGGCCTTTAATGAAAAGATTGTGGCTTTAGCTGCAGCCTGAGAGTTTGGAGATACTTGCTGTCTTAGTCAAGTAAATAATAGAATGACAGCTGAAGAAAGGCTCAAATTCCCTACCATTCAACAAGACATTCCCTGTATGGATCCCCACTGGGAAATTGACTCAGATCATGGGGACTGGGAGTCATAAATATCTATTGACCTGTGTTCTAGAAGGACTAAGGAGAATTAGGAAGAAACCATGAGTTATTCAATGATGTCCAACTTAACTCAGGGAAAAGAAGAAAATCCTTCTGCTTTCCTTGAGCAGCTGTGGGAGGCCTTAAGAAAATATACTGCCCTGTCACCCAACTAACTCAAGGGTCAGTTGATTCTAAAAGATAAATTTATTACCCAATCAGCCACAGATATCAGGAGAAAATTCCAAAAGCAAGCCCTGGGCCCTGAACAAAATCTGGAGGCATTATTATTATTATTATTATTATTATTATTATTATTATTACATTTTGAGACAAAGTCTTTCTCTGTTGCCCAGGCTGGAGTGGAGTGCAGTGTCACCATCTTGGCTCACTGCAAGCTCTGCCATCTGGTGGCATTATAAAACCTGGCAACCTCGGTATTCTGTAATAGGGACCAAGAGGAACAGGCCCAAAAGGAAAAGCGAGATCAGAGACAGGCCACAGCCTTAGTGATGGCCTCAGGCAAACAAATCTTGGTGGTTCAGAGAGGACAGAAAATGGAGCAGGCCAATCACCTGATAGGGCTTTTTACAAGTGTGGTTTATAAGGACATTTTTAAAAAGATTGTCCAATGAGAAAAAGGCCACTCCCTCATCCATATGCACAATGCTGAGGCAATCACTAGAAGGCACACTGCCTCAGAGGGCAAAGGTTCTCTGGACCAGGAGCCCCCAACCAGATGAACCAACAACAGGACTGAGGGTGACTAGGGAAGCACCAGCTCATATCATCTCCCTCACTGAGCCCCGGGTACATTTAACCATTAAGGACTAGGAAATTGACTTCCTCCTAGACACTGGTGCAGCCTTCTCAGTGTTAATCTCCTGTCACAGATGACTGTCCTCAAGGTCCATTACCATCCAAGGAATCCTGGGACAGCCTGTAACCAGGTATTTCTCCCACCACCTCAGTTGTATTTGGGAGACTTTGCTCCTTTCACATTCCTTTCTTGTTATGCCTGAAAGTCTCACACCCTTATTAGGGAGGGATATATTAGCCAAAGCTT